>NC_000014.9:32642016-32945046 GCF_000001405.40 Homo sapiens | reverse complement strand
AACTGCTCTTACAAGGTATATATTTAGTACTGTACCTGGCACGCATAACCACGGTCCATGGTAGAGGTTCAATAAATGAAGCTGAATGAAAGAACCAGTCAATCATTACAGTCTAGGGCCAGGAGAACTGTGGGCCATAGTAACATAAGATCTTCATCTTGCTTCCCCTGATTTCACATACAAGACCACAGTATTTCAATTAATTCACCAAGACGTGATGTTTTACAAATGTATACAGAAAACTTCAACTATTGTTTAATGTTGTCACTGCCCTAGTCATTTCAGATACAGTAGCAGTTACTTTATTCTTACTAAGCCATGTCCTGTTTATGCATTGTAGTATTACTAATATTACTACACATTCTTCTAACTATTCTATCAAACTTAATAGTGCAAACATCCTATTCACACTAATGAGGCTCAGCGCAGTAAAAATACCATTCAGTTACAGTTGGTTTATTACACTGACCAATGAGGGGGGAAAAAAGGCCACTATTTACTGGGAAAATACTAACATCACCGAATGCAAACAATTGGATTTTCTGATAAATTCTAGTTCTTACTAATCATAGATATATTTAAAGTTTCACATATTCCATTATGTGCAATTTTGATAGCATTTAAAATTTAAAGAATAATATTTAATCAAGTAAAATTTAACATACTAACTTATTTACTAAGTTTCAGCCTTATTCATCCTAAGCAATTAAAGACACGTCTATAAAACACCTGAAGTTAGACTGTAGCCCAAATACAATGCAGAACTTTAAAAAATCAATTAGAATGATTAAATGTTATACGCAGAAAAAGTGACTGTGTAAACATAGCATGGAGGTGGCAGGAGCTACCTCTGCTTTCATGAGTGTTAATTTTCTTTAAATTTAGTGACATTTTGCATAAGACATAGGTTTACTAGAATTGTAGAAAAACAAAAACAGATTAAGGTTACATTAGGGTCATTATTAATAGTAAAGCACTTAAGGAAGTTAGTAGAGGAAAGCATTAAAAGGATTTTGAAACTTTTGTAATATATTCTCCATAAATATCCCCAAATAAAGGCCAGGCACAGTGGCTCACGCCTGTAATCCCAGCACTTTGGGAGGCTGAGGCAGGCAGATCACCTGAGGTCAGGAGTTTGAGACCAGCCTGGCCAACATGGTGAAACCCCTATCTCTACTAAAAATACAAAAATTAGCTGGGCGTATTGGCATGTGCCTGTAGTCCCAGCTATTTGGAAGGCTGAGACAGGAGAATCATTTGAAGGCAGAGGTTGCAGTGAGCTGAGATTGTGCCACTGCACTCCAGCATGCCTGGGCAACAGAGCAAGACTCTGTCTAAAAAAAAAAAAAAAAAGAAAAAGAAAAGAAATAAAGAAACAAAAAAGAAATCCCCAAATATGAAGACCTACTGCTTAAGAAAATAAATAATGCTTCCCCAAAAGTGTTGCTTTACAGAAGCCATAGAAAACCTCACCACAGAGCAGGGGATCCTAGCAGCAGGTCCTACTTCAAACAGACACAATTGTAACATAGCACTGAATCCCAGACCAGGATCTGGGGCAGGGAAGAGGAGTAAGGTGGTTCATAAGTATTCTGGCCTTCTCATAAAATAGCTATATTATAGTATAGGGCCAGCCATTGGGTAGAAGAATTACAGGGGAAGATCAAAATTCATATGACTAAAATTATCAAACTGCTCCAATTTCTGGATTATATTTGAAGTACAGTATAAGTCTTACCAATTGATTGCTGAGATATTAATTACACATCACTTTTAGCCATATTTTTAAGACTATATAAAGACACAGAAACCAAAACCTTACTAATAACACTACTAGGTGAAAACACCTCATGTAACTTTAAAAAAAAAAAAGTATCGAATAATGTTGAATTCAAGTTTGCTCATTTGCTCACTGTAAGGAATCAAATCTAGTGATTGGCATATTGCACATGTGGAGTAGTTATATGTCTTTCAATTCATAAATCAGAAATTGGAAATCTGAAAAGATGTTGTAATGAGGGAGGGTCTTACATAATAAAGGTCATTATAACTCCTGGCTCTGGAGCTATACGATCTAATATCCTCTCTGGTGGATCATGATATGCCCATGCATTACAGTTCTTGTTGACAGTCTGTTGCCTTGGAAATATTTCATTATTTCAGTTTTTCCATTTGTAGACCCTTGGCCTTGTGATATGAAGGCCATCCTATTTCATATTTTCGATTATCATTTAAGCAATCTTGTGGAGCTATTTATATATATAAGCAAGTGTTAGACAATGCATATAATCATTTATCACCCCTATTTAAGCTTATACTGTAGATAGAAATACCTCCAAAAACCAGTCTCCACCACCTTTACTTTTTAAACCAAAAGCCTTGTGCTACTGGGATACGCTTTGCAAATCAGCATGGGCATATCACATGCTTGACACTTCTCTCTGTCTAATTTTTTTGGTTATACATCCACATAGTAGAAAAACTTTGTGGTAGTGCTATATAATTTGCAGTCTATTGGCGTTTAAAGAAAATCAAACAAGTTTATGTACACAAGGTTTTCAACTTGTTCTTTCAGGCTCTAAAGAGACACTTTCTGTATATGTAATTCAGAGAAATGTAAGGAGCACTAAATAGTAACCAAAGACATTATCAAGAACGAGCTTATTTTTCTGAAATTTACATTATAAACATTACTATAAGGAAATGACTTTGGTACTGTATTACTATACACAGGTTAGACATTTCATAAATAAATGAGACAATTCAAAAGATATATTTTTCTCTGTAAGTTTCAGATTACTAATATATTTGAAAAGCAGTAAAGAATAAACTGTCCATAAATGCCTCTGTGAAATCAATGATTTTGAAAACATTTTTTTAAATAAATAGGAGGATACCATTTAAAACATATCCACAGAAAGTCATCTTTTATAAACATATTTGTGTTCAACTGCTACAAGGAAATACTTGTTAACCAACAAGTTCTAGGCACAATGTGCAAATAAAGGTGGAATTACTCACTTACTTGAAGCAAGTATGAAAAACAGCCCCCTCCTAAACAAATCATCTGATTTCCCATTTCTCATTACAAAGCCAAATCAACTTACATGTGTAATGTTTACACTTAAAGTGTTAAGAGCATTTAAAACCCTGACAACAAAGTGAACCCTTGGGGCATAAAACAACTGTTTGGATAAGGGACCAAGTTTGCGGTTGTTGCCTTTTGAAAGGTTTAGTTTATAACTCCTTCCTTCCTATCTTCCACAGTGCTCCTGCCCCCACCCCGCTGTTATTACTCCTCCTTCTCCATACAGGTTAAACCTTCTCAGATCCAACCTTTAAAATGACAGCATCCAAGCTGAACAAGAAGATGCTATTAAAGGGCATTAAATTAAATACAGTATATCCTCCTACAACTTCAATCAGAATTTCAGACCAAGTGTTATTTAGTTCAGCTCTCAAGTGGAGCAGAATAACAAATCGCACACTTTGATTTACCTTCTTCGAATGCCAAATGGAGACAGGTGATAAAGAACGCACTCATGCACAGGCTATGAAGTTTCCCCTAGAAATTAATTCTATCTCCGAGATTCTTATCTCAGAGAAATTCCTAAAATGGCACACGAATAGGCCTTTGCTAGAGAGATTACTGGGGCCATCCCAGTAAACATATTTATTAACAACAGAACTGGGAAGAAGGAAGGAAGGAAGGAAGGAAGGAAGGAAGGAAGGAAGGAGGGAGGGAGGGAGGGAGGGAGGGAGGGAGGGAGGAGGGGAGGGGAAGGAGGGAGGAGGGGAAAGGAGGGAGGAGGGGAAGGGAGGGAGGGAGGAGGGAAGGGGAGGGGAGGGGAGGGGGAAGAAAACCAATTATAAACCTCAGATTTCAAAAAGTATTCATCTTCATGTTAGATAAAAAATAATTTTTAAAATCCTTGCACAATGCTCTGAGAAATTATTTTTTCTACTACAAGAGTAAAGTGTGAATTCTTCATGAAACACTGATACTTCTTAAGAAGTAAATACTCATTTTAGCTGTATGAGTTGTCAGATTTTCTACAGTTTGGGAGCAATAGTTAATGCTATACACATTTAACATCTTTAAAAACTGGATTATGTATGATTTACTCTCTGATATATGATGTTTACAGAATCATCTAGAGTTCAGAATTAGTCAATTATGTATCTACTTAACAAAAGTATTTCCTTAATCCTGACAATTGTGCCTTCCCTATCGTATGAAAGAAATAAGCAACAGTACAATAGAAGCCTTTTAAATGAATGGATGTCTGAATATCCCCTTATCGTCTTCTGATGTAAGCTATAGGTTAAATATTATGTTGCATCAAAAATAAAACTATGTTATAATAATTAAATCTTGCAACTAAGCACATCCTTTGTCTTCTTTTCAAGTTCACTTAAGCCTGTGAGGAAAATCAACGCGCCTGCTGCGGGTGGGGGTGCATATATCTTACTGTATTTGTTTTCCTCATGAATCAGTGGGTGACGTTTCATACTTCCTACTGCGCCTTTCCTCTTCGGAGACAGAAAGAGATATCCACTTTGCTCAAACCAATATGCTATATGCAATTAATGTCATTAACGTTGCCAATTAATAGTAAATAGGATTCCAAAGAAAGTAGGCTGGGTGGACAGCAGGAGGGAAAACCACGTTGGTGGTGATGGGGAGGGGGTGCTGAGTTACTCTGAAAATCTATCAATGCTACTCACGTAGAACAGTTACGGGTATTTTGAACACAAACTCCCTTTCCCTGTGGCTGTACTAGTTTAACTAACTTCAAATAGACATGCTCGACTGAGCCCCTTGCTTGGATATGCAATTCTCACCAGGAACTTTTTAAAACACAGATCCCCAAACAGTAACTAACGGGGCATAGATGCTCCAACTGCTGACACATTTTGGATCTCGCTGTTTGTTTGCTTATTTGGATTTGAGGGTTTTCTTCTTTATTTTTCTTTTTCCTTTGGGAGGGGTATGGAGAGGAGGGGAAGATGAGAGCGGAGGGCAGAGCGGGAGACCCACAAGTTGCCGAGCGGAGGGCGCAGCCCGGGAGGCAGGGAGGCGGCGGCCGCGCTCCTCTGGGCTCGGCCCGGCCTAGCTGCTCGCGCGGAGACGGAGCCGGCCCCTCCGCGACACATTCCGGGCCTGGCGCGAGCTCCGCGCTCCCCGCCCCCGGCCTCCTCCTCCTGCTCCTCGCCTCCTCCCCCTGCTCGCCGCCTTCCCTCCCCCTCCCCAGCCTCATTCCCTTCCTCGAGAGCAGCTGCTAGGGGACCTGCGGCGGCCCCGGGGATCCCCGGCCCCCCACCCTCGCTGCTGCTCCCGTCACACGGCAGCGCCTTCGCATCTGTTTGTTTCTTTTTCTTTTTCTCTTTTCTGTTTCTTTCTTCTTTTTTTTTTTTTTTTTGTCAGTGAGTCACTCTATTCGCCGAGCCGAGGAGGTGCGACTGCTCAGAGAGCCCGGCCGCCGCCAGAGCCTCTCGCTGCCGCAGCCGCCGCGGGGACAATGCGCGGGGCCCCGGGCGAGCGCTGCGCCCAGACGAGGTCCCCGCGGGCTCGCGGCCCAGGAGGCGGGCGGGCTGCGGAGAGGGGCCCTCGGCGGCGGAGGCGGCGGCGGCGGGAGCAGCGGCCCGGCGGCAGGTTCAATAAACAGAAAAGTGTTACCGTTCTCGCCTGGAAGGATCCTGCTGAAAGCTGGGCTTGGTGGGCGCCATCTTCCTGCTATTTTTTTTCCTCTCTTACTTTTTGCCTCTCTCCCCCCTCCCGGGTGGGGGGCGTGGGCGGGCGGGGGTGTGCGTGTGCGTGGGGTGGCGGGAGAGTGCGGCCGTGCGCGGCGCTCTGGGCTGCCCGGCGGGCGGTGGCCGGGGCCGGGGCCGTGGCCGTGGCCGTGGCGGCGGCGGCGGCGGCGGCGGCGGCCGTGCTGCTGAGGTGGGGAGGCTACGGAAAAGTAGTGGGGCCGGAGCCTCGCGGGCGGCCGGCCGTCCCCTCGCGCCGCCGGTGCTCCCAGCCGTGGGTCGCCGCTTCCGCCGCCGCCTGCGCCTTCTCCTCCCGCTGCTCGCCCGGCGCCGCCGCCGTCCATGCGCCGCAGAGCGCCCGCGGCCCGGGCCGCCCCGGCTCCCGAGGCATGCCCGGCGCGGAGACAGGCGACCGGCGGCGGCGGCGGAGGAGGAGGAGGGGGAGGCGGCGGCGGCGGCGGGGGGAGGCGGCCGCGCGGTCCCGCGGGCAGCCCGGCCCAGGGCCCCGCCGCCTCCGGGTTCTCACCCCCGCGCCGCCACCCGCCCCCGCCCCCGTCCCCCGTCACCCCTTTCTACCACCCGGAGCAGCCCGGTGGCAGGTGGGGCGCACACCCTCCCTGCGGGGGGCGCGGGGTCTAGGCCGGGAGGAGCGGGAAGGGGGAGGACACGCGGGGGGTTCCAGCTTGACCGCTGTGAAAGTATTTCTGGGCATTTTCCAGCTGCTTTGCTCCAGAGCGCTCTCTCGTACGCAGACACACACCTCCCCCCCCTTCTCTCTCTCTCTCTCTCTCTCTCTCTCTCTCTCTCTCAATTTCTCTCTCTCTCTCTCTCTCTCTCTTTCTCGTTGGGGGACTGGGAGGCTCGGCTGCCGGCGCAACAACGCCACTCAGTTGCAGTTTCAAACACTTCCCTTCTCTGGAGTATTGCAGCCAGGAGGAAAGAAAGAAACAGAAAAAGGAACTGGGAGGCCACAGGAGCGAGCTGGGGCAGGACACAGTCCCGGGAGCTCCTTGGGGGCAGCGGAAATCAATACGGATGGGGGGTGCGCTGGCCCAAGCAGATGGGCCCAAGAGCCCCGTGGGCGGTGCAGCAGCAGCACAAGCACCTTGTGGCTCTGGCGCTCTCAGCAGCGTTCCCAAAGCCGGAGCATCTGCATCAGTCACGGACGTACAGGAGTGCAGACCCCAGGGTTCACAGGTGAATCCCCGCGCGTTTAAACTCACATACAGAAGCCCCTCCCGACTCGGGTCCCGGGACTTGGGACCGGACTGCCACCCTCTGGGATCTAGCCCAGCCGCACCCCGGTTTGACAGTTCAGCAAGGCCTAGAGAAAGGCTGGCTACTCAGTGCAGGGCCCGGGCTAGAATCCTGTTACCTGGGTAGACCCTGGTCAGAGCGTTTTCTCCACTAAACCAATCAGAAGCGTGTGGACAGCTTTTTACGCAGAGACTTGGGTCAGTCATGTGTCAACCAGGCAAGTAGAAAGGACTCCCAAAGCATTTCCACTTTGAATGAATGAAAGCGCCTGATGGAAAACATCAGTCCTGTGTGAGGTTCTGCATTTGACTTTAAGCTTAAGAAAAAAATAAAGACCTGAAAAGGGGTCCTCCATTCGGTCTCTACGACTCCAGTAAAGTAGGGCTGGGAGTTGGAAACTTCCAAAGGAACACATAAATGTTTTTCGTGGTAGAGGTGTTTAATCTGCATGATGGTGTTTAAGTTCTCTTTGGAGTACACTCTACAGGTAGGAGAGAATGAGAAATGAACTGGAGTGGAGAGTGTTATGGACAAGATATACATGGGCTGGCAGAGAAGGGAAAAAGTTGCCAGTTCAAAGTTTTGGCTCCAGGACACCCAGTCTAGGGGGTTTCTGCCCGAAGATGACAAATGAGAGAAGCTTGTAGTCTCCCAAGAGGCCACTCTTTGCTTGAAAAACCCCCCACTCCTGTCACTCCCGCGGCGGACTCCTCAAAAGTACTTAAAAATAATTTTTTGGTAAAATGATATGTCACCATTCACTTAACAAACAAATCCAGATGGAAACAAATCCAAGCGGAAACTAAGTCTGTCCTTCAGAACCCCACAATCCTGTTGAGGTGCCAGAGGACAGGGGACTCCTGACTCAGACCCTACCTCCAACACCTGCCAATGACCTTGACCTACACGGCTCACTCTCTGCCCCCCTCCCCCTATTTTGACTAAAAGACAGTAACAGGTGTCATCATGTCTTAGTAACAAAATCAAAGAAGGCTACATTTTTCACAGCTATCATCTTCTCTTCTGCCAATATAACATAAAAATCGAAGGAGGGAATAATACACCCCAAAGGCTAAAGTTTAGAGATGCTAGAAAAAAAAAAAAAAAAGCCTTAGTCTTTAGAACTGCAGTGGGATTCAGAGACTTCATAAGGTGCCCAAATTCAAAGTTGAAAGTGGAAAGCACCAGTGCAGCTCTCAGTGCTGAGGTGGCAGACTGTAGGGGACTGCCCCTGGTGCTCCTGCCTTGAGGGAAAATTCTCTCTGAGGTGATCTTTATGGTAAAGGATAACAACACTCAGAGCAAACCTGATGGCAGAAAATTCCTAATCCCCCACCCTTTTATGCCCAATTTATATGGTATAAGTTAGCTCAAGTTCCCGGAGGTCCCTGAAATCTTCCAAAGGCCATCTGACATTTCTGACCCTTGACTCCCTACTTCACAGACCATACTATTGTGACCATTGCCTGCACTTCCTAGTTAAAGTGACCGCCAGATACTATTGTCATTTAAATGTTGTATAAGTGACCAAAAAAACATACCTGAACCATGAAAAGGAAAAATCTAATTCTTTTCTAGTCTTTCATGTTTGAAAGAGTCCCAGATCTTTTGTATTAAAGATTCCTGTAATCACTGAAGTAAAACAAGACTAAAATAATTTAAATCAAAAATCCCTTTGACAAGGAATAGCCCCTTTTTGAGTTATTTTCCAAACTCTTTAAAAAAAAAAAAAAACTTCAGACAGTACACAGAGCATATAATGAAGTCTTCTACAGAATATTTGGAATACTGGACATCAACTTGGAAAACACTCAGTGTGTTATGCAAAATCTGCTCTGGTCACTGGGCCATTGCTTGGAAGGCACAAAATATGGCAGTGATAGATTATCTTAACCTTTTCAGTTTAAATACTGTTGGTTCAAATCAAAGGTTCTCAAATCAATGAAGTTTGAAATACAAGGTAAAAATAGGAACTGTTATTTGAATTATGCATTGTGTATATTTTAAGTTAAATGCCATTGGCAAATCTCTCAGATGTTTAATCATGTGCAATCTGGGAAACACAAATATTTAATTTCACACTTTCATGTGTTCTTTTTTCTTCCATCTTTTATAAAACCAAGCCCCACAAATGGGGAGTTTACCTTTCATAGTACATTGTTAGTTTTTCTCAGCGCATTTTCGTGGATTACATTTTCAGTAAAATCTTGGAACATCAAAAGTTGTCCTTCAGGAAAAACTTCAGGGTTCTAAAGCTGTTGGTAGTGGTAAATTGCTTTCCCTTTCTTTCCTTATTGAATCAAATTACTATTTCAATGTCAAATACGTAATTTTTAAGAAAAATCTATAAATACGTTTAAGAGAACTACAAATAATACTTTAAAACTTCCTTCTCACCACCTAGCCTGACTTTGTAAAATTTGCTTCCTAACTTGTATCCCTGAATCTTATGCATTTGCATTATAATGCGTTTAAGATGAATACTTAACAGCGCCGAAGAGACTCGGATTTCATGCTGTATTTCCCTGTAGTAACAGGTGACATGATAACACTATTATGTAGAATTGCAAGTTTACAGCTACACATGAAAATCGTTCCTATTCTGTTTGGAAACAAATGATCAATCAGCCTCCAGTGATCAATTGCCCCCCTAGCTGTCCGTATGCGCGGGTCCGCATCCGGCTGAGGCATTGAGAAAATTCCACTGGAAAGGGATGAGGATCCTAAACTTTGCAAAAGCACCTTGTGCGGCGTCTCAGACTTCGCTGCAACTCCTCCGCTACTCGGGGCTGAAGCTCTGGATTTGGGGCCAGGCAAAGGGCAAAGGATGATTTCACTTCGCCAGCGCACTGGAGTGCTTTTCAATCCACCAAAGTGAAGTGTGTTTTTCTTCCTCATCTGTAGAACGAGGGGCAGGCAAAGTGAGCCCTGGCAATGTGCATGTGTGTTGTAAGACACAAAACAGGAGGCAAAGTGAGTCCCACCCCAGCACCCCGGGGCGGGGGCACTATCCCAGCCCAGGCGGGACTACTCACCGCTGCTGGTAGGAGGTGATGCCCTGGACGTTCTGCGGGGTGCCGTTGGCCGCGGCGCCGGCCCTCCCCATGCCCGCGCCGGCCGGCACCCCCGCGGCCGCCCCGCCGGCCGCCGCGGCCGTCACCTGCACGCTGAAATCCGGAAAGATTCGGATCATCGCCGCGGCTTCGGCCCCCGGGCGCGGCGGCTCTGGGCTCTGGCTGGCGGGGGCTCGGGCTCGGGCTCGGGCGGCGGCAGCAGCAGCAGCGCGAGCAGCGGCGGCGGCAGCAGCGGAGCCAGGCACCAGCCTGCAATCCCATTAGTGAGCCGCGGCCACTGTGCGCGGCGGAGAGGAGCTTTGATGTGCGCGCAGCGGGCTGGGGGTGGGGGGGGCCGCAAGCGCGAGGAGGAGGTGCGGGGGGCGTGCGAGGGACTTGCAAACAGCAAAACGTGTCAGGGTGGGGCCTTTTTTCCCTTTTGGGGGGCGGCGGTGCTCCCCCCTCTTTCCAGGATGTTGCTCTCACTGGCTGCTCCGGCTGCGCCGCGCGAGCCCAGCTGAGGGAAGAAGGGGAGGGGGTGGCGGAGGAAGGATGCACCGGGAGGCTTGGCGAGGACTTGGCCGGTGCAAGGGAATGACCGGCAGCGGAGGGTGCGTTTCTTTCCCGCCCCCCTCTACACACACACACACACACACACACACACACGCCGCGCACTTCCGACCCAAAGTGCAAGACTCAGGCGCGCTCTCTCTCTCCTCCTTTCTCTAGAGAAATAACCACCATCCAGGCAAGCTCGCGCCTCCCGCGGCTTCCAGCAACCTGGAAGCCAGCCCGCGTGTGCAGGAATGGGGACGTAGAGCCTCCCTTCCTGGCCGGAACCCCTCTCTGCCCGTCTTATGCACATCAGGCAGCGCGAGGGCTGCCAAGCGCAAGTTGGGCTCCTCGAGAACTTGATACTTATCGAGGAGGGATGGTGTGCAAAGACGGAGAGAAAAAAAGAAGCCGCTTTTGTGCAATGGAGAGTTTGTTCTCCTTATAAGAATGGGCCCTTCCCTCTGCTGGTGGGCGGGCGGGTTGGTCCAGGACAAACTTGTGAGGTGAGGTCCGGTTAGAGGGATCCGGTTGTGCCCCGCTGACCCACCTCTATACGCCCCTTTCGACCGATGAAACGAATAAATTAGCAGCCACCACTGAGACGAACTCTGCAAATTCCAACCACCAGGGAAACAAAAAGAGAAAACACGTGCATTTATTTCCTCGCGTCTCTCAGTTACTTCTCCACACTATTACATCAATGTTTCTTTAAGGGGTGAGGAGGTATGCCTGCGGTTTGGGTGAGCCTTTTTAAGTGACGACTTGCATTCCAACTCGACTAGTGGGTGGGGGCAGTGGGAGTTGATCGTTTCCCCTACCCCTGCCCAGGACCCCCGTTGTCCCACTTCCTCCTCTTTCTTCCGGCTGGCGAGCCTGGAGTGGAGTTGCGGGCGGTGGGCGCAGCCTCCTTCGGGATGCAGGGCTTCAGCTCCCCTCATCTTGCGCGCGCCACCCTCGCCCCCTTTGCTGGTGCGGCTGGTGCTTGCCCCTTCTCGTCCTTTTCTCCTTCCCACTCCCTGCGCGCCAAGGCCTGGGCCCCGCAGCCGCAGCCAGGGGACGAGTGGCCGCCTTGCCTTCCGCAGGAACCCAAGTTGGGATCGGCGAAGCGTGGTGACCGCGGCCGCGCCGCCCCAGCCCTCGGCCAATAGCGCCTCGCCCGGAGAGGCACCTGCTTAACCCTTTGAGCCTAGGGCGCAGCCGGCCCGCCGGGACCCAGAGGGGCAGGGCGGATTGGCCAGAAGTTGCCAAGGCCAAGAGTGACACAGGCCGCCCAGCCTAGCGTCCCCGCACACGGTGTAGGGGCCAGACGCCTGCCCTTGCCGCAGACCCGGGCGTCCCCTCCCACCCTGATGGCTCTCGGGAAACAGCCAACCCGCACAAAGACGAGCCTTCGCCCTGGCGGCGTCCCGCGCCTGCTGGGGCAACCTCTGAACTCCCCTAACCCAAGTCAGTTTCCGGAGGCGCCTCCTGCACCCGGCAGCCGCTGGGAAACAGAGGGAGGGAGCCCCAGCTCTCGCTGGCCGGGCCCACGGCGCAGCTGCGTTTCCATTTTCCTTTCAAAGAAAATGCTTTGGACGGCAGATAATACCAGGAGATATGAAACTGCTTCGTCCCCCACGTGTTGCACGTAAAAAGAATCGTAATGAGCATCTGTGCCTTGTGTGAGGGATCCCACGAGTTTGTTGAAGACCTAACCGAGGTCCTGACTCCCTCCTTCCCGAGAAGAGATCATTTTCTAGCTTAACGGCATTCATTTCGGAGATACTTATTGTGCAGAGGCCAAACGCAAGGTCTTTGGGCCGGGATTGTGGGCGTGGGGGCGAAGGCCAGGCTGGTGGGAAAGATTTGATCACAGAAGTGGGTCCTCATCCCACGCGGAGCACACAGCGCTGGGCGTCGCAGGTTGACTTGGATCTCAGCGCGCTCTCCTCCCTACCTCTCTTGCTCTGAAAAGATCACAAATATCACTCCTTGGCTCTCCGCAGGCTTTCTCAGGGCGAGAAATGGGAGTTTATGTCAATTCGAGAGAGGTCAGGAATGTTTTAGGGGTTGGGAAAAGTTTCTTTCTCTGACTGCATTGGTCAAGGCCGGCGGTATTGTAGGCCAAAGGAAGTCTAGTATGTAAATGACTCATGAATGAGGCTAAAAATGAACCCCAATGCAGGCGGTGCCTTTCTATAAAATAGCTTTTGTTTTAATTGTTGCCCCACTGTGGGGTGGTGCTGTGCCTGCCACAGAAGTCTAGGCCAACCAGTTGATGGAGGCTTCCAGCAAGTGGCTCCTGGATCCATGTGTACTCCAGGAATGTAATGCAATACTCCACCTTGATCCTGTGCATCCAGAGGCAGCCTCAATGTGCCAAGTGAGTCAAAGGAGGGAAAAGCCGTCTGTGGCCAAAAGTGCAGAACTTTTAGAAGATTAGTTTCCCTTTTAAAGTCTTTCTGCACAGTCAACAATGAGTTATATTTACAAAGAATATTATTGCTCTTCTTTGTTTCAATACCAATTCTATGACTAGAAGAGGCCAGCAATTACATTTTATTCACTACTTATTTTACAAAATCGTTGGCTTGAAAATGTATCAGCCTGATTCCCATCACTTTTGGAGGGCAATTTTTTCTTGGAAGCCCAAAGGGCAAAATTGCCCCAATGGAAAGAAAATGTGAGATTTGTTGTTGGACATTTAAAACTACATAAGCTGAAGCCTTTTCAATTATACTTTGTTATTAAAATAGTTTAATGAGCACATTCAACTTCAAAGTTCCAAGCTTTCAATTACCCATCTTTACGAGAATTAATATGGCTCCTGCCCTCCAGAAACTTTGTTTTCTAAAACAGGAATACACAAAATACTCAAAGAAGATTTGCATAGTAGGTTACCTTACAACGCAATGTTAAGTCTGTTTCAGTATTTTATCCTTACATGTGTAGTTTCAGAAGGTCGGTTTGCATGCATGAGAGACGAATTCCTTATTGGATCTGCTTATCTCCATGTTCATTAAGGACCTTAAGCAAAATATAAGTTTATTCTCTCATTAGTAATTCAGATTTCATTACTCTGCTCCTTCAGTTAAAATCTTTACATGCTGGCAGCTGTTTTGAAATATTTTGAAAGTTGCTTTGGCATTCACCCAACCAAAAGGACTCCAGTTAGCACTAAACTGTATACTCTCTCATTTTATACCCCTGCAACATATAAATTTCAGTGCGTGTAGAGACTTGGAAAAGGATTATTTGATGTTTTAACCCCAAATACATGCATATGATATATAGATACACAGTTACATATTTATATCTTTATCCTTGTCAGTGTACAACTGTGCCTTTTACTCATACAATACTAATATCTAGTCTCTGAAAAATTCATTTCCATGTACTTAAATTGTTTGACTTTGAATTTTCACTATTTTCTGTCAGAAGGTGCCAATGACAGGTAGGAGAGAGAAGGCTACAAAACCTGAATATATCTAATTTTTGCTTCAATTTGGTCAGATATTTAAGAAGAAAAAAATACATACAGAGATCAGGAAAAGGTAAAGCAAAACAACATAAGTAGAATAAAAATACTATAGGTAATGATAAAGTAAAAAATGCTTTTCTCTGAAATGTTAGATGTTTTTACTGAAGTGATTATGCTGCAAAAAGGGTTTTTTGTTTTTGTTTTTTTTCTATAAAGAAACTCTCATAATTTCCAACAACCTGAGAGTTGAGTCTTTATTACGGGAGAAGCCATGAACTAGTATTACACAGTACCTCCATCGTATCTTGGGAAGAAGATTTTTACATTCTGTAGAGGGCTTAAATCTTTAATTTAACCAATTTTCCATCTTTGCTCCTCAATCCAAATGGAATTCTAGCTCTTACTGCTAAATTTGCCATGCTATTAATATGTCCTTAGTACATTCAAAAACAAAACAATAATGTCAGGGGAGGAAAACAACCATAAACTTAGCAATATAATCATTCTTGGTATTCCAGAAGAGAAACTGAGGAATTAAGAGATAATGGCTAATAAATTTTTATTATATATGTACATCCATATATAATATATAAAAAGAGTTCTGAGGATTTTTTCATATTAGTACTACATATATCAAACTGAAATATCTCAAGCTATTATGCTAAACTAATTCTCAGAGGACTTTATAAATATATAGCTAGAAAAAGAAGAGGTATAGTTAGAAGAGTCTTTTAGCTTTTAAACTCAGTAGCAGGCAGTAGGGGAGGAGACATTGTTTAGAAAAATTAGTGGGGAAGGGTTTCAGAAATCCATATGAGGATTTTAGTTAAAATATTTACACGTTGTGGCACACATAATTCTAAAGCATGTGCAAATCAATATAACTATAAATGAACTTTGATTTAAAGGCAAAATAACTACTCTTAACATATTTAAAAGACAAATTTGTCTTTAAACAACAATCTTTTAAGTTTCTTTTGCTTATTTTCTCATGATAGTGGATTTGATGTTGAGATTGAAATATTTCTAATTTCTAGAGAACTGATTTGGTGTTTTCCTGTGAATATAAGGGTCCTAAATGTTGGTTCTAGTAGTTTGCTGCTTCTATTACTGTCAGCGTAATTAGAACTTCGATGGAACTACTAAGACATAACTTGGTACCTGCAGCACAGATCTGCGGATCATGGCTAGTTTTTGTTTCACTGGAAATTATACACAGTGCTAACTGGAACTTGAGTTTCTACTTCACTTGGTTCTTCCTAGTAGGCATACCCATGTAGCCATTGGACTCTTCACTGAATTTTCTTATTGATTATAAAATTATTAATTCAATGCCTGATTGACTAACGGGATAGCTAATTGCTTTGGATTGAATTTTTTTCAAAATAAAAACATTAGAGTTCTGAGATGAATTTTTCATTTTCAATAAAATAGAATATTGCATAAGCCTAATAATACAGCAGATCAAACAAATGGATTTATTAAGCTGCATGCTGAGTAAACCTTTCTGTTTTTATTAAACTGTTATGTTCCTTCACCCTAGAGAGATGATTCTCAGACTTTAGGGTGCATCAGAATTACAAGACGGGTTTTTTTAAACACAAGCTTCTGGGGCTTACCTCTACAAAATCTTATTCTGTAAATCTGGAGTGAGACCAATAATTTGCATTTCTAACAAGTTCCTAGGTGACGCTGATGCAGTTGGCCCAGGCGCACATTTGAGAACCACTGACCTAGAGTGTTTATGACAGAAGATCCCAACTTTGCTACACACACTGACTGAGCAGTCAAAGGCATATTATTTAAGCTCTCTTTGCGTCCGCAACCTGGTATTAATTCGATCCAGCAAGAATAGATGTGTCCTGTGTGGTGGGAATCCAGACACACTTTCCTCCTTTAGTGAGTCAATAGTTTATTAGAAGAGGTAGATAGTAAACAAATAAATTGCAACAAAATATCATAAGGGCAACAATAGATTTATGTAAAATGCACAAAACTGGCATGGGGATTGGGAGCCAAGCCAGATGAGAAGAGTAATCAAACATGGTCAAGACACAGGGTGTGAATTATGTTCTCTGAGTTGAAGGTGATTCTACCATTTACAAGCTAAGTGACTTCAACCAATTTGTTTACTTTCTCCAAGCCTCAGTTCCTTTATTTGTAAAACTAGTATAGGCCGGGCACGGTGGCTCATGCCTGTAATCCCAGCACTTTGGGAAGCTGAGGCGCGTGGATCACCTGAGGTCAGGAGTTCGAGACCAGCCTCGCCAACATGGTGAAACCCCATCTTTACTAAAAAAATTAGCTGGGTGTGGTGGCAGGTGCCTGTAATCCCGCTAGTCAGGAGACTGAGGCAGGAGAATCCCTTGAACCGGGGAGGCGGAGGTCGCAGTGAGCCAAGACCACACCACTGCACTCTAGGCTGGGTAACAGAGTGAGGCTCCATCTCAAAAAAAAAAAAAAAAAAAAGAAAAGAAAAAGAAAGAAAGAAACTAATAATATAGATCTTAAAGGATTATTGTAGGCATTAATTGATATAAAGTATATGTAAAGTACTTAGTACAGTGCCTAACACATGTTAATTACTCAATGTAAGGTAATCATTCCCAGAAGACCAATGTCTAAGTTCTCTTCCAAGTTTTTTTTCGTGGTGATGGAAAAGTTCTTGGTGATTACTCAGACAAGTTATAAAATATTTACGTGTTCTCTTTATGAAGGTTGACAAGTATAAACAGTTATTTCTTCTAAACTTACAACAATATAACTGAAATTATGAGTGACTAACTTTTTCATCAAAGTCAAGAAGGATGCCATGTAAAAGTCTTGCAAGTGTTCCATGAAGTCAGGAGCACTTTTCTAGAGGCTTGAAGTTTTGCTTTACATAAAGGTTAGTAATCTTCTGGCATCAATCATATACAAGAAGTGTAGAGGCATAAAATAAAATAGCTTCACAAAGTGTAAATACAATTTGGATATCAGATTCTATATTGGTTATTATTGGAAATAAGAATATTTGGATTTTATTCCAAATCTTTTTGAATCAATGAGGGTAAGGATAATTGAAATCTTTCACTAAAGTATTACATAGTGCAATGATTCACAAACATTTTTGTCTCAAGTCCCCTTTAATATTTTTGAGCCACTGAAAGAGATTTGGATTATATATATCACATCTATGAATATTTACTGTGTTCAAATTTAAAACCTATAAACTTATTATTTCATTTTAAAATAACAATGATAAACTCATTACACAGCATAACTTTTTTATAAAAAATTAATTATTTTATCCCCAAACAAAAAATAGAACTGTGATACTGTTTTATATTATTGGTTCTCTTTAATATCTGTCTTAGTAGAAGACAGATATCTCTTCTGTATTAAATCTCTTATAATGCTATGTTGTTTTGATTGTGCATGAAGAAAATCCAGCCTCACACGTATATGGAGTTAGAAAAGAGTTAAGTTCAAATATCATTGCTTTTTCATATAATTATGGGTATTCTTTGCTATTACACCAAAACTCAACAAGTAGTAGTTTCTTAAAAGTTAGTCATAATGTGGGATCTGAAATAATAGTAATAAGATATTCATAACCGTAGCCATTAAAATCCATTGACCTATAGATTTTTTTGTTCATGCGTGATTTTTTTTCGAGACAGGGTCTCACTCTGCCACCCAGGCTGGACTGCAGTGGCAAAATCATAGCTCACCATAGCCTGGAACTCCTGGGCTCAAGCAATCCTCTCATCTCAGCCTCCTGATTAGCTGGGACTACAGGCATACACCACCACAGCTGGCTAAATTTTTGTCTATGGTGAAAAGGGAAAATAATGTCTTAGTTTTACTGTAAAATAGTTTTGTCCTCATAGGCACCCCAAAAGGGTCCTCAGCCCACACTCCAAGAAATGATGCCTTAATACTATGCAATTCTCAAGTTGTTATTACTAATAAATTAAAAAATTAAAATTCTCTTTGCTGTAATTTTTAAAAGAGTGAAAATGTACTTTACAATTCTATATTACATTACTATCAAATAATTATGAATGGGTTATTATCAATGTTGTACTTAGAATTTCTTTTCCTCTCCTAGTTTTTATTTCTGCGGGTATAGTCGGTGTATCTATTTATGGGTTACGTGAGATATTTTGATACAGGCATACAATGCATAATAATCACATCAGGGTAAATGGGGTATCCATCACCTCAAGCATTTATTCTTTCTTTGTGTTACAAACAATCCAGTCATAGTCTTTTAGTTATTTTTAAATGTCCAATAAATTATTGTTGACTATAATCACTCTGTTGTACTATCAAAAACTAGGTCTTATTCATTCTATCTAACTGTATATTTGTACTCACTAACCATTCCCACTTCCCCCTTACCCCACTGCCCTTCCCAGCCTTTGGTAAGCATCATTCTACTCCCTATCTCCATGAGTTCAATTGTTTTAATTTTTTCAGCTCCCACAAATAAATGAGAATATGCCAACTTTGTCTTTCTGTGCCTGACTTATTTCACTTAACATAATGGCCTCAAGTTCCATCCATGTTATTGCAAATGACAGGCTCTCATTCCTTTCTATGGATGAATAGCACTCCATTGTGTATATATACCACATTTTCTTTAATTTCAATTTTATCTAGAACCTGAAATAGGTACTTTGTTCCTTTATACTATTATTATCATCCAGGAAGTGGGTACTGTTTTGATCAAAGGAACTCAATTACTTAATGTTGAAGATCTCAGGTCAGGAACTTCATTTTTTCTCTATTCTCTGAGAAAGGTATGAGAATGCATAAGTGAGAATGATATTCCAGAAGGCTGGAAAGATGAAATATATAAGGATCTAGA
This sequence comes from Homo sapiens, assembly GCF_000001405.40. Classification (NCBI taxonomy): domain Eukaryota; kingdom Metazoa; phylum Chordata; class Mammalia; order Primates; family Hominidae; genus Homo; species Homo sapiens. The sequence continues at coordinate 32,926,115 of NC_000014.9, read as the reverse complement.
TTAAGTTACATATCGGAAAGAAGTTTTCCATCATTCAGAATGTGAATAGGGCCACCTCTGAAAGAGCTGAGCATCCCTTACCTGGCACATATTTTAGCAGACAAGAAGACTACCTTCTAGGTATTTAGAAGAGAAATTTTTGCACTGAGGGTCAGAGGGGGTCCATTTCCTCTAAATTTATAACTTATATAGACATAATCTTTAACCAAATCATCTCTATATCATAAACAACACATCATAACACTGTTTTCAAAGCGTGTGATCTTTCTAACATGGTTTCCACAGGCAACCACAAATAATTTCTTTATGTTTATCACTATTCTAAGGCAGGAGGATCTCAGGTTCTTGTTCAAAATGGAAAAACAAACTGAATTATTGTGCAAAGCATCTTCACTTACTCAAAAGTATAAGGAAAAAGATCTGTAACTTAAGTATTCCAATAATTAATTTTATTTAAGTACCCTGGACAGCTGCTCAGGGTACAGACCAAATAGGGTAAGACAACCTTTTGAAGTTAGGTCACTATCTATTATCAGTGACTCATAATCAAATCAAGGATATATTTCAAACAGGTGATAAACAACTGAAGAATTAATCAGCTAACATAGAAATGAATATAATCTTGCCCCAAAATTATACCCTGTCAGACATATACATAATGGAAAGTTCTAGAAGAATATGCTTTTTTGTTTATTTATACAGACAGCTTTTCAGTCTCTGTGCCTGGAAGGATCAAGAAAGGATATGTATAGAAATTTTATCTGTGTACCTTTGCACAAAGCTAATACACTAACAAAACTTTTAATTCTATTTATTTTGACTGAATGATCCCTCCTACAAAGTTACTTGTGTGGTTATGGCCAACAAAAACTATAAACTTGAAGAGGATTCACTGAGAATTACAACTTACTATATCCGAGGGAAAACATCGAAACCAAAGTTTTGTCAATTTTTTTTTTTTTTTTTTGAGATGGGAGTCTCGCTCTGTCACCCAGGCCACAGTGCAGTATCGTGATCTTGGCTCACTGCAACCGCCAATCCCAGGTTCAAGCGATTTTCTCGCCTCAGCCTCCCAAGTAGCCGGGATTGCAGGCACATGCAAAAACGGCCAGCTAATTTTTGTATTTTTAGTAGAGGCAGAGTTTCACCATGTTGGCCAGGCTGTTATTGAACTCCTAACCTCAGGTGATCCACCCGCCTCAGCCTCCCAAAGTGCTGGGATTACAGGCATGAGCCACCATGCCCAGCAATCTTATTTTGTTTGATCTTGAAAAGTGATATAAAGTATCTTCACTTGGAGATTTCATTGTTGCTAAAGATCTTGGCTTATTATGATTTCCTTATTTTTTTACTTTTTTCTAAAAAGATATATTAAACAATATAGAAGGAAAATATACTGTAGATGAAGCTACCTTAGCTTTGTGTAACACAAACCCAAATTAATAGTTGCTTATATAAGACAGAAGTTTGTTCCTCTCTCATGTTAGCATTTAAAAGTAGATGGTTCAGGAGCCCAGGTTTCTTTTCTCTTGTTGTTCCACCATGTCAGGGGTGTTCGGCTAATCCACACAGTCCAAGACGATCAGCTACCACATCCATATTGCAGGACAGAAGTACCAGGAGGGAGGGAGAGAAGGGCATGTACACTGCCCTTCAGAACACGTTTCGGGCATGACATGTACTGCTCTCTCATCTCATTGGGCAAAATCTAGTCACATGGCCACAAATGGCTGGAATAAGCTAGGAAATGAAGTCCGTATACAGAGTGATGTGGCCAGATAAAAATCAAGAGTTCTATTATTGTAGAATGAGACAGTTCAATTCAAAAATCCACTTAAAATTAAGAGACAAATAGAAATCCACTTTATATGAAATGAAAATATTAGAAGTAACTCTTCACTAAAGCTTATGAGGATTAAGTTCAACAGTGTTTATTTGAAATAACCAAATTTGAAAGTATTCACCAGTGAAGCAGATAAAGATGTTTCTGATTTTCAATGCAGCCAAAGGGGAAGAGATAGGAGTAAAATGTGGTGACATTTTTCCTTTTGTTAAAAGGAAGAAGATGACAAATTTCTAAGAATTCTAGTATAAAAAGAAACTTTGTATTATGAGGTATGATTTTCATTTAATTTATGATTTAGAACTTAAATTCAGGGAAATGTGCACATCAATAATACTGTGGTCATCTATTGTTCCTTTAGCCTATATTCATAATATGAGGGAGGGATAACAAGGATCAAGTTTATTCCATCACCATGTTTATACTCTGTGGGATTTAGAGAAATCAACCACACCCTTCATTGAAGGAGAGACTGCAGGCATTTAACAGTTTGGGAAAGAGAGAACCCCCTGTTGGTGATACCAGATGTCATGCCATCTTCAGTACCGTTTTACACAAAGACAGGCCTCAGAGTAACTTGTTTCCTCCAGTCTTCTCTATAAAAGATGCTCTTACCTTCACCCTGAGTTTATTTTGAACTTTTACCTAAACTACAGGTTTCTTTCAAAGAACATTTTGATATTACATACACTATTCTTAGCATTTGAAAGCTGCAAAGAAAGTAATACAAATGCCTCAGATATTTTTTAAATAGTTGAGAAAAGTTCATCTTCTGCAGGGCATGTGAAGGGTCAGGACGGGGAAAACTTGAGTGAGAGTTCCTGGATTTTAATATTGGCCAGGGTCTTGCGGCAAATTGCTTAACTTCCATACTTCCTTTCATTGATGCATGAATTTATTTTGACAAACTCTCCTTAAGCACCTACCATATGCCAAGTTTTTTGTTGTCGTTGTTTTGTTTTGTTTTGTTTTGTTTTGTTTCGGGATGGAGTCTCGCTCTATTGCCCAGGCTGGAGTGCAGTGGTGCGATCTCAGCTCACTGCAACCTCAGCCTCCCTGGTTCAGGTGGTTCTCCTGCCTCAGTCTTCAGAGTAGCTGGGATTACAGGTGCACACCACCATGCCTGGCTAATCTTTGTATTTTTAGTAGAGACGGGGTTTCACCATGTTGGCCAGGATGGTCGTCTCGATCTCTTGACCTCGTGATCCGCCCGCCTCCGCCTCCCAAAGTGTTGGGATTACAGGCTTGAGCCACCGCACCTGGCCGCCAAGTATTCTTTTAAGCAGCAGGGCTACAGTAGGGTATAAAACGAAGCCCCTGTTCGTCATCAAAGCTTTCACTAGAGGTAAGAGGAGATACCAATGAACAAGTATGTGTAAAAGTCAGAAAAGATACCTCACAGGGTTATTATAAAGATGAAACAAGGTAAGCAATATGAAGTGTTTAGCACAGTCTCTGACATGCAAACGTACTTCCATGGAAAAGTTATTATTGGTAGTATTACATGGATTTGGCTATAGAGTCAATAAAAAAAATTGAATTTTTAATAGTAGTCTAAACTAGCATGCCTAGTCTGTATTGAAGGCTTTGTTTCTATTATCTAATTTTTTTTGTAAAAAATAAAATTTTTAAAAAAATCCCCAATTCCAATTATTGCAATGTATAATGAAACATAATCTAACATTTAATAAAATTTGTAACTTCCCCTCTCCTATTTCTCTCACTTTTCAGTACCAAATATATTTTTTAAAAATATCATCATAAAGAATTTAATGGGGCCAGGCACAGTAGCTCACACCTGTAATCCCAGCACTTTGGGAGGCCGAGGTGGGTGGATCACCTGAGGTCAGGAGTTCAAGACCAGCCTGGCCAACATGGTGAAACCCCATCTCTACTAAAAATGCAAAAATTAACTGGGCATGGTTGCATGTGCCTGCAGTCCCAGCTAGTCAGGAGGCTGAGGCAGGAGAATCGCTTGAACTGGGAGGCAGAGGTTGCAGTGAGCCGAGATGTTGCCATTGCACTCCAGCCTGGGCAACAAGAACGAAACTCTGTCTCAAGAAAATAAATAAATAAAATAAAATAAAACACAAAATTAGCTAGGCATGGTGGTACGTGCCTATAATTCCAGCTACCCGGGAGGCGGAGGCAAGAGGATGGCTTGAACCCAGAAGGCGGAGGTTGCAGTGAGCCAAGCCCAGGCCACTGCACTCCAGTCTGGGCAACAGAGTGAGACTCTGTGTTAAAAAAAAAAAAAAAGAATTAATGGTGTTGAAATGGTTAAAGGAATGAAAATAAAACATTAATTTTCTTGATTATCTGATACTGTCAGACACTATTAGGCATTCTGTATATACTTTTTGTTTTAACCTTCGTAACAATCCTATAAAGTGCATCTTATTAATCCTTACTTTCACAGAAAAAAACTTCATAATCTACTATTGATTCCAATAAGTATTTGAGACAACCGAAGAGTGTTCAACATAGCTTATACTTTTTAGTTTCCAGTTTTTGTTTTACAAATAATTGACCACATATACATTTTTGTAAGAAACAAAGGAGCGCAATGTCACCCACCAGACTGAGAAGATAAATGATGATTTTATCTCAATAATTATTTATTCTAAAATCAGAGTTTATAACTTTCCCTATTAAGTTAATTCAGTTATGATATAAAACAGTCATAACCCCCTAGTTCAATGAACAATGCTCGTAGAAATTTGAGCTTTTTTTTTTTTTCTCCTACTGGGTTCTGACAGCAATGGCATAGATCAGTGGTTCTCAAAGAGTGGTCCCAGGACCAGCATTATCATCACCTGGGAACTCGTTAGAAATGCAAATCCTCGGCCTTCCCCTATTGAATAAAACATGCTGAGAGTGGGGTCAGAAATCTGTATTTTAAGATGTTCTCCAGGTGATTATGATGTACTCCAAAGTCTGAGGGTCACTGGCATGGATACTTACTGATACAACCAATAAGCAATGTTACAGATCATTATAATACTATTTTCTCTGAGGCAAGACTCCCTCTCCCTAGCCCACAAAATGTACGTCATTAGTTTTTTTCCTGTGGAAAGAGAAAACAAAAACAAAATATTTCTTTAAAGACTCGAATTTCAAGAAATTTCTAAATGTCACTGGTTTGAGAGCTGCCCTAATAGTAAAACTAGAGCAAACATTTCAAAAGCAACCAAAGTCCACTTCCTGTTTTACATTCTTCTGCTTCTAAAAGGGTAGGGAATATATTGCAAAGACCCAAGATCCTGAAAGTACAGAAGAACAAACCAAAAGAGTGAATAGAGAGCCCTCGCCAGTTTACTTTAGAGGCTTACTTTCCTACCTGGAGGGCCAGAAAGAACAGGTCCTGTTCAATATGTACGAGGCCAGAGAGCGGGATTGGTTTGTTAAGGCTGTCACTGAGATTAGAGCTTCCCGGAGCTCCTGTCCTAACATCAAGTCAATTTCTTGCTAAACTCATTCTCATTTTAAATGGGAAAAAGATTAGACTGTTGAGTTCTTGGGGAAAAATATAAAACTGGCTGGTAGGCAAGCTTTCTTTAAAAAAGAAAATAATCTCTCAGCCTTCTGAACTCAAAGATAGCTTAATAAAAGCAACGGAAAAGACTAATACCAGCGGAAGAAAAAATAAGAGGATGAGAAAAAAAAGAAACTAGATCCCCCTTAAAATCAGCATTCGTTAAATACCAGTGAAAGAAAATGACTTTAAAGTTCTTACAAAGGTACTGTTGAGACAGAGGAAGAGACTAACAAATAATTCAAGTAATATTTTGAGACTTTAACTCCAGAATGATGTAGGAAACAGGAGTTAAGGATGCAAAACTATGCTTACCATTAAAAGAGGCCATAATTCTCACATGAATACTTGCCCTTCCATGGAGTGGACGCCCTTCTCACCATGTAATTAGAAACTGTCCTGAAAGAGACCTGTTGCATGATGTAACTGGAAGACAGCAAAAATGATTACATTTTATTTTCTTACAAATGTGAAAAATAGTAAAGAAAGGGCTCCTGGAGGTTAACTTATCACCCCAGTCTGTTCAGGAGTCAGGAGTGCAAGAGGATTTGGGGAGAAGGCTTTTTAGACCAGACATAGAGCTGAGATTTATGAAAGGCAAGTGGGGAGGATACAGAATTGAGCAAAGAGACTCAGACGCTGGAAAAGTAGGGAGTTACATAGCATATTAAAGGAACTCCCCCACGCCTGGCAGAAGTGGCTGGCCCTGGCACCCTCATCATGTACAGTCATTGTTTGAGGACCATCAGGGAAGAGTGTGGCCTTGGTTCAAAAGTTGTAACATACTCCAAAGATACTGCTTCAGAAAGCTGTCAACCCTCTGTACTCCTCACAGCTGAGTAGCAGGTTCTTTCTTAAGGAGAGATGGCATCTAGCACACCTCCCTGGCGGCCACAGGCCATTCCTGTGCCATTTGGATCTACTTCTCCATAAATATTCAGGGGGCAGCCCTGCAGGCTTCCCAAGGGTTGTTCTTCCGAAGGCAGTCCTTCTTGCAACTGATATTCACTTCCCTTCTCCACTCCATTCTCCTCCTTCTCCCTTATCATCTCTATTGGTTTTGATGGTTTTTGAAAAAGTGTGTATTTCTCTTTTGCAGATGACTTGGATTTGTTTCAAAATCCCAGGGATCTGCATTGAGATTCTCCAACTGGGCTTTTCCCTAAAAGCCAATGTATCCTTTCCCATCACTAAACAAAATCATAGGGTCTGCCTGATCATGTGGTCTGAGCAGCGGGGCTGCTTGGACATGAAGTGTGCATCTGATACCCGTCGCCTGATATTTCAGCTGAGGGAGTATTTCTAGGTACGGAATGTGTTGTCTACAGAACCCAAAGCAGCTTACCAGACACTGTGCTCCTTTCTTTCCTGTAGGGTATACAAGATGCCACAATTTGTTTTTTGTATGTTTATTTGTTTTTTACTTTAGAGGGAACGTCTCAGCATGTCTCTGACTGCTGGGCCCGTAAAAACTTTACCCATGTGACAGGCCCCTGAATCCTCAAAGGGTTTATTTCCTTCCCTCTGTAGTACATGTGCCTTACTCAATTTGTCTGTCTGATCAGCATAATATCATCAATGCAATGGGTAAACATGATATTCTGAGGCCTCTTCAGATGGTTCATATCACTTAGGACTATGTTATGGCAGAGTTAACATAGCCCTGGGGCAAAACTGTGAATGCATTCTGCTCTCCATACCATATAGATGTGGACTTTTTCTGTTCCCCTTTCTTGATGAGAATCAAAAGCAGCATATTTGCTAAATCAAAGGCTATATATCACGTACCTGAGGTCCTTGCCAGGGTGAAATCCTATATTCCAAGAGAGTGCCCCTAAGTCGATAAACTCTCTTTCATCCAATCTTATGTTCTGGTCTCCTTTGTCAAGCAACCTCAAAATCCAATCCCAGGAGTACTTTCCCAGCTTCTGCTGGTAGATGCTGACTAATTTTTGTAGCAACTTTTGGACACAGTTGCTGTCTCTGTAATCAGGCCAGCGCAGATGTGGGTTATGCTGAACTCAATCCTAGGTATCAACATGCAGCCAGAAGTGCAGATAAACCCTGAGTGAACACCCCGGATGCCTTGCTGGGAAGAAAGCCCTCCCAGTGTTTCCTCACATGCAGAGAGCTCTAGCTCTTAACAGGGATGAATGGGTTCCCCACACAGGCTCTGAGGAATCTGGGAAACCAAACTCTTTAAGGATATCAACTCAGATGTCCCTATCCAATATTCAAGCTTTCTCATATTCCCAACTGGTGCTCGATTATTAGTCCTGCCTCTACTAAGCATCTCATCATCTCTGAAGCTCAGGGATTCCAAGCCCTGAGGTTGGTTTTCAGGTTTTTCTGAAGGTAAAGGCTGCTTTTTAAGCTGCCAAAGAGGCCTCCGGGACCTCTCACTGAGTTTTCAGTTTGTTAACTGCCCTTAGCTTTTCATTATTCTTCTGCAGGGTTTCAATTCGATCTAATAACAGCAAACCAACTTTATTGTCCTTGTATGCATTATTCCCCTTGTATGCATTATTCCCCTCTCATCTCCTACTCAGCCTTTTTCAAAGTCCTGAATCATTATAGCAAGCACGATGTTCCCTTCCACTGCAACATTGTCCTAGGTCACTGCCTGTGAAGGTTTGAGCAGTGGGGTCAGCACCTCGTGCCAGGAACTATGTGTGCTCTGTTTACCACCCACAATGGGGTCCTCATTGCTAGATGAGTGCCAAATGACCCAGCCTGAAAGCCCATCTTACCACCAGTATAGGTCACCCAGGAGGTAAATGCTGAGACAGAGCCAGGAATGCACGACGTTAACTGGGAGGTAACACTTGTGAAAGATACAGGGCAAGAAAGTGGGATTAGACAGGGAAAGCTTTCAGACTTTTAGATGTACTCTGAAAGTGTGTGAGAAAATGGGAGGAAGCAAATTGGAGAGCCTCAGACTGCCATGCAGACCTAACCAATTCTTGGCCAACCCAATGGGAAGTTTCCAATCAAAGATTGCCCATAGAGGAGCACAGCATTGGGCAGAAATATCAGGCCCTAGAACCCTGCCATGCTCAGTCGTGAGGATGGGGCTGTGCAGGAAGAGTGTGGTCTGAGCTAGGGTGCTGTGGTGGATCCTGAAGTCACTGCAGATGGAGATTAGCCAATTGCAATCTGAGTGTCACACTTCCATAGCTGCCACGGTTGTTTAATGAACAAATGTTTATTTCTCACTTCAAAAAACAGTAATGGGCTTGGGCTTGGTGGCTCACGCCTATAATCCCAGCACTTTGGGAGGCTGATGTGGTGGATCGCTAAAGGTCAGGAGTTCGAGAACAGCCTGGCCAACATGGTGAAACCCCATTTCCACTAAAAATACAAAATTTATCCATGTGTGATGGTGGGTGCCTGTAGTCCCAGTTACTAGGGAGACTGAGGCAGGAGAATCGCCTGAAGCTGGGAGGTGGAGGTAGCAGTGAACTGAGACTGTATCACTGCAGTCCAGCCTGGGTGACAGCACAAGACTCCATTTCAAAAAAAAAAAAAGATGAGGCAAGCCTAGAGTTACAAGAGAACACCACATGGAGAGGACCTGCCTGAGAATGAAGCCAAGTGAAAGGAAAGCAGCGTGGAGGAGAAGAACTTGAGGACCTGGATTTTGAAGACACATTTGGAGCCCTTTGATCCCTCCAGACTTCAAAAATCTAGATCTACTCCAGGACTTTTCAGTTATGTGAGCCAATAAAGTGTTTCTTTAGCTTAAAGCTGTTTGAGATGGGTTTACTTTCAACTAGAAGATTCTTAAGTCAAAACTGTTAGAGAAAGGGCTGAGTCTGGAATAGTGGTATGTTATAAGGCATAATCCTCTTTAACACGGGTCCAGAAAAGAGTCATTTCATATTAGAGTTGGAAAAGACCTCACACAGCCCTAGGTCCAGCCCAATCCCTTTAAACAAGAGTCAGTGAAAACTGAATGACTTGTCTAAGGTCACAAAGCCACTTGGTAGCAAATCACATTTTGATTTTAAGTCTGCAGGTTTCTGGGTTGCAGTTATTTTCACTGTAAAACATTATGTCCCTTGAGAGAAAGAGGGAGATCACACAATGTTTAGATTCACGGAACTCACAAAAAGTGGAAAAAAAATTATAAACAATAGCAGCCAGCTAATGCTAATTTAGTATTAATGCCAGTAATCCTGGATAATGTGGCTATTGAAGAATAGTTACTAATGTAGGCTTCATACTATAATTTAGCATTATTTAAGTAAGAACAAAATCAAAATACACACTTTTGAACAAAGTGTGAAAAGTGTTTAATCCTTATTTTCTTTTTGCAACTTGTCTGAAAGTGTTTCTTCCCTTTGTTCAGCACATTTCTGTTCTTTAGAACTTATTGATAAAATCTGGAATGTTGTAAGAGTAAAACTGTTTGGAAAATTAAAATTAAGTTTTTCTAGTGCATTGTTATTTTCTTAATTATTGCAAGCACTTCAGGGAGGCTTTTCTGTCTTAATAGTGCCACTATCTTGTTTTTATAATGTATTCTTATAACAGCATTTAAAAAAAATCAGCCTTCCTAGATTTTAAAGGTTAAATTAAAAGCTAAATTTTTGAATGATGACTGTGTCCACATAAAATACCTTAAGGAAAAGGTGACGAATTTATACGTTTATGAGTAATTGATACCTTTACAATTTTTTTTTATTTTCTATAAAAGGGCTTATGAATCATTTGGGGCTTTATATTTCAGAGAAGATTTATTTGTAGGTTTTCATTTGTTTTACCCAGGCTTTATATATATGTGTGTGTGTGTGTGTGTGTGTGTGTGTGTGTGTGTGTGTGTACATATATATATAATTTTGTTTTGAGATGGAGTCTCCCTCTGTTGCCCAGGCTGGAGTGCGGTTGGTGGTGAGATCTTGGCTCACTGCAACCTCCACCTCCCAAGTTCAAGCGATTCTCCTGCCTCAGTCTCCCAAGTAGCTGGGATTACAGGCGCGTGCCACCACACCTGGCAAATTTTTGTATTTTTAGCAGAGACAGGGTTTCACCATATTGGTCAGGTGGTCTCGAACTCCTGACCTTGTGATCCGCCTGCGTCAGCCTCCCCAAGTGCTGGGATTACAGGTGTGAGCCACCACACCCGGCCCAGGCATTATATTTTTAACGTTATTTCTAATTTTAAAATGTACATGAATTTTTTTTAATATACCAGATTTTGAGGGTATTTTCCAGACTTCTCCAAAAGCAACAAACACTATGATCAATCACACCTCACTCCTGCATAATTAGCTTAGCGCATCAGTTTTACACACTGCAGAATGGAAATAGGAGCAGGCAAAGGCTGAAGAGTGGCAATGAAGAGAGTGCACATCTTGATGCACACTCCATTTGGAACTCTCTGTGCTTCTATGTTTTAAAATAAATTTGATTTCAGGAATTTTGTCTATAATCCTTTATTCAAAGCCTATTGTTCAGTCTCACTGTATCCCAGCAAATCTTCATATTCATGGACATCATAATTGCAAAGAGATGGCACTTTAAAGTATATACAGAAGTACTATCATTGCAAACACCTAGTTAAAAAATACTGATAAGCAAAGAAACAAAACTTGATCATATTAATAAGAAATGAGAAAAGTAATATCTTCATATTCCACTATGAAGAAAGCCTGTTTTTGCCTCCTCGGCTATAATAAATTCTTTTATACATTCAATAAATATTCACTGGGCATCTATGTCCAACATTGAAGATATGAACGGACTCGATCCTCACTCACCCCTGAGGACCTTGAAGAAGCAGGGAGGCTAGACACATAAACTAACATCTAGGGGACCATGTAGCCAGGTGGCCCCAGAACTTAGTGATGATTGATGTGAAAACAGATGAGAAGGTGAATGTGACTTGGGCAAATGGAAGGGAGGAAAGAAGCAGCCTTCATGGAGGAGAAAATCAGTCGCAATTTCACAGGCGTGGAAGCAAAGGGCATTCTAGATCAGTAGTTTCTAGTAGGTGAGTGGGAGCACGCGTGTCTGTCTCATGCAGGGAATGGAGCACGATGAGAGCAGACGGGGTTGTGGTGGGCCGCAGAGGTGAAGCAACAGAGCAAAGCAAGCAACAGGAAATTAGACTCAGGTTTGCAAGCTTAGCAGGAGTCATACTTTAAAGACTTGAATGCCAGATCATGGAATGTGGATTTTATCTCACATACATCTGTTAACTGAAAGTCATGCACAAGAATGTTCATGGCCACAGTATGCAAGCCCCCAACTGGAAATTTCCCAAAAGCCCATCAAGAGTAGAATGGAAAAATCAATCAGAGTATATTCATGATAGAATGAGAAAGAAAAGGAACACAACTCCATACAATATGGCTAAATCTCAACAACGAAAGAAGTCGCACAAAATAGTACATACGTAACGTTTCAATTTACAGAAATAGTTTCAAAACAGGCAAGATTACATTATGCTGTTAGGGGACAGGAATGGGTTACTTTCAAGGTGGAAGAATGAATAGCTTCAGGGGTGCTGATAATATTCTGTTTCTTGATTTGGGTGCTGATTTTACAAGTATAATTTGTAAAAATTCATGGAGCTCTATACCTAGTTTTTTTGCGTGTACATGATATTTCAATAAAAGGTTTTAAAAAATCTTCCCAGTGTCTAACACATAAGTAACATTCTGTATGAGTCAATGTTTTTAGATATATCTATGTATTTACCTTCCAGGCATCCATCTACATTTCAGATTAGGTCAGCATGCCTTTCCGATTAGGACAGTACTTTCTGTACAATCAATGGTTTGTTGCAGTGTGGAAAAGCATGCAGGTTTTTTCTCACTGGTTGTGACTGGCAATGCTTCCTAGTGGACAAGTGCTGAACTGGACACCGTACAATGTTTGCAGTGAACCATGTGAAAACGCTCTGCTTAGAGCCTTTCCATGTGAAACTTGCTTAATATATACCAGCTCAGGGGCTAGGAAAAATCTGTCCCTGAACATCAAAACATTAAAACCATAACCAACTAGGTTCTTGAATGAATTGGCAATTAAATCATTCTTAAGAGTTGATTTGAAAGCACCTTATAAATAAATACACCCCATGCTCTGATCCTCCTTGTACACCATATTTTATTTTCATACATTCAATTTACATTGTAGAAAATTAATGTTGATTCTACTGTAAATGATGCTTTCTAATTATTGTAACCTGGCAAAAGTTGTCCTATTGATTAGATTACCATGCCAAAAATAACATGCAGTTTTACAGATTAAAATATCAAGTCAGGAAAACCAATACTTAAAATTAGATAGTTTTTAAAAGTTTAACACTGTCAGAGGTTTAAAGCCATGAAAACTAGGGACAGAAGTGGTTTTTTTTTAATTTCATATATTGCATTTCTGTGATGATATAAAAAAAAACTCCAGGTTTTTAACTGAATTTTCTTGAGGTATTTAACATGTTTTATTTTAATTTTAGTTTGTGTAAAATTAACGAACCAAGATTGGAAACTTATTTTCAAACTTGAAAGAATGCTTAACATTTGATAGGTGAATTAAGATTCATGGATTGAATTTAATAGTACCTAAATCTTCTAATTCTTTAGCCCATTTTCTTTGTCCACATTAAAATAAAAAACGATTCTAGGTTTGAAATCCCACGTGATTTCTTTCATTATGCTGCTTTATATTTAAAAATCATCTCTAGGTAAGGGGAACCCTCTTGAAAAAGAATAATTTTAAGTTTCTTGTAGGAGACAAATAATTTAAATGCAATATATATAAAAAAAAGTGGACAATTAGGGGTGACAGAGGTATTTGCACAATAGCCCACAGAAAGGAAAACTAACACAAGAAAGATTAAGAAATGTGAATACCTGTTTGCTTAAAAGAAGTTTTAATATGGTCATCTCCTGCTGGCCGCGGGTCTTCCTCTCGAATGCGTATCATACACACATTCTGTATGAAACATTCTGTTATCAAGCTGTCCTCGTGTTCATGGGTCAGTGGACTGGCCTGGAGGCATTTTTAGCAATTGGATTTACAGGTACCTGGATATGGCTTTCTATTTAAATTTGAAGAAACCCTTTGGTCTCCTGCTTCTGACTGTCCTCTAACTTCTGACTTGGTGAGGACATCTCTAGTGTTATCCCTGCTTCTTCCCACACAGTCTCTTCTTCCCCTTCTCCTTCTCTTTATTCACCCCATGGTTAGAGTCCTTATGAGGTATTTTTGTTTCAAGCCTTTGTTTCACAACAAAACTTATTATGTTATTTTCTCTTTTTTTAATTTTTGTATTTCCCCACATAAATAACACCCTTCATCAGCTCCCTACCATTGTCTGACAGAAGAACACTAATTCAGAGAAGAAAAAATGTTAATGTAAAAATTACAACTTTTAGAAACAACCATTCATTTTCAGTGTTAGAGAAAATGTGGAGGAAATGCAAGTCTTACTAAATAGGAAACGGCAGTGTTAAAGAGGAAAGTGATCAGCAGTTTAAAGTTTCAAGTCAAATAACCACCAGTACCAGAAAATAATGGCAAAGTCAAGGTTAAAAAAGAAGATGACAGATATGCTGATTAAAAACGATCTTAAAAATGAGCTTCCCTTGAACATTAAATGGAAAAATCCAGAGTTGGGATTGCCAACTGTTTACAAAGAAAAGATTATTCAGAAAGACTACGTGACTTAAACAATAACATCTTTCACATTCTTCTGGGAAGATGGGTAGATAATATGAAATTTAAACTAACATTTGGACTCTGTCCATTTTGGGCACAGTGAAGACATTTTTGGCATGCTATTTAAAATATTTTCATACCAGTTTATCCTTCCAAAATATAGTGAAAACACACTTCCACAGTTGTATTCTGTGGTATAAAGAAAAAAAGTCAAAGGCAGAGGCTACTTTACCTTTTATAGAAATAAACAACAATTCTTTGTAACTATTTTGCATTTATTTACACCCTCTAATGTATATAAGATACAATATGAAGAAATTCTTTGCAAGAGCAAAATCATCACCTAAACTTGGGCAAGTTACTGAACCCCTCACCCCAAAACCATACTATGCTTTAGTTTTCCAGTCTAAAAAATGGAGACAATAGGGGTACCTATTCCTTGAGTTATTGTGAGGATTTGATGAGTTGATACCTAAAAACTACTTAGGACAGTGTATGCCCATAGTGTCAAAAGCCGAGAAGAAAACATAAGACAGTGAGATGATACTTACTGTTTATAAGACTACAAGCTATCAAAACATTTATAACTGCTAGAAAGAGTAAAAAGAAGGTGTGACAGGCCATAGGAGGCCTGCAAAGCCTAAACTATTTACTATCTGGCCCTTTACAAGAGTGTTTACCAACCCCTGCTCTAAAAGATCATCTTGACTACAGTAGATATGTTGATTAAGTGTAAGTGAATAATATATATGGAAAACCACCAATATTTAGATTTTCTCTAGGGTAACATAGCATTTACTAAGATTAAAAATTGATTCTATAACCAGATTACAGTTAACTTCTATAACTTCAAATGTTACCAAAGTATTTATCAAAGGAAATCATTCTGAGGTATGTCTGACATCTGATGCCACCAAATTGTTAGTCAGTGATTTTTTTGTTTTGTGTTGAAGTCTGGCCTATGAACATAATCGCCAGGAGCTAGCAGAGACGCAGAGAAGCTTCGAGAATATTATCGTCAAATTAACCTCATTCAGGCCGCAGGGCTACACAGCTCCAGGGGAACCAGCCATATTGTATTCCATGTATGTGAGTTATGCTTAGCGGTTGCCTTTTGAGCAAAAGACAAGAAGAACAAAGCCCCCGAATTCTGCAACCCAGTAGCACTGACCTCAGCTCCATTTTAAATGGAAACAACTTGGTAAATGAGGACAATAATTTAGACGATGTATTTTTATTTTAGCAGACTAACAAACTCAGCCTTGATATCTTCTTATCAAGAAAGAGAAATATAGGTTGGATGTTAATATAATGATTTCAGCAGATTGAATAATTTTTTCCAAAGATTTAAAGATCATGGACTCAGGGATGGATGCCAACTGGTTGGGGGTCAGGATGGTAGGACAAGTGGCCTACCATAAATCGATTATCTTGGTCTAGGAAAGCTTAGCTAAGTTTTAATCCATGATCTAAATGAGGGCATAGACACCATGATTATCAAATTTGCTTATGATGTAAAACTCGGAGGACTAGAGAATACTAGGTATGGTTGCCACATGAAAATTTAACAAAGGACCAAAAGTAAGCAAAACAATCATAACAGAATTTTTTTCTTTTTTTTTTTTTTTTGAGACAGAGTCTTGCTCTGTCTCCCACGTTGGAGTGCATGCAGTGGTGCTATCTCAGTTCACTGCAACCTCCATCTCCCAGGTTCAAGCGATTCTCCTGCCTTAGCCTCCAGAGTAGCTGTGACTACAGGTGCGTGCCACATGCCTGGCTAATTTTCTGTATTTTTAGTAGAGACGGGGTTTCCCCATGTTGGCCAGGCTGGTCTTGAATTCCTGAGCTCAAGCAATCTGCCTGCCTCGGCCTCCCAAGTGCTAGAATTACAGGCGTGAGCCACCGCGGCCGGCCTCATAAAAGAAATTGATCCTTTGCGCTAAGGAAACTGTTAAACCATGAGTCTCTCAATATTGATATGTGTAACTGATTTTTTAACCTAACTGTATTAGGCTTCAAAAGACTCAAGGAATATTAAAAGACTGGGGTAAGTATAGAGAAAAATAGCCCTAGATATTTAACATTTTTTATTGAGTTTAGTATATTTTTTTCCAGAGGTGAGTTTGTAAGACAGGATTTAAAATCCTTAGTTATAAAAACTAAAGGGCCACACAACAGATTTAGTCCATAGATGTGTTTCATTTACCACCCTCCGCGTAGTATCTTATTTAACCTTTTAATTAGTTGCTCACATTGAAAAATCCCAAGATTTCACATAAACATTGGATTTTCAGCTTCTCTTGAGTCACAGAAGTGCTGGTGACATGGGTCCCTGATTCCCCTGGGAGCATGCCCCTGGGGTAGAATAGCACCCACTCTCCCGAGGCCAGGCCTGCACCCATGGGTCCCCACAGCCCCCACCACTCCCTACTGTATTACACTGGCCTGCTTTCATCATTTCTCTAGGCATTTAAATTCGTGTGTGCCTGGTCTCTAGGCATTTAAATTTGTGTGATTCCTATAAAATTCAATTTCCCTGAAAAAATGGAATCAGACTCCAAACACAGTTGGTGCCTTTGAGAGGAGCTGAGCTTCCTGTCATGGAGGGCAGTATTGTTGAGGAATACGATGTGGATGTTACAGAAGAGTCCTGCATGGGGCTAGAGGTTAGACTAGATCAATGTTTATCAAATTCCATTGTATTTGTTTCATTTTATTTTTTGAGATGGGGTCTTTCTCTGTCACTGAGGCTGGAGTTCAGCGGCCTGATCATAGCTCACTGCAGCCTTGAAGTCCTGGACACAGGTAACCCTCCTACCTCATCCTCTGGGGTAGATGGGATTACAGGTGCAAGCCACTACACCTGGCTCTCAAATTTCTTTTTAAAAGCAAAGAGACTTGCAGTGTTGTTTGCTTAAATTATTTCTGCTTTTATGACTCTTAAACATCCATAAGCATACGAGCCGTAAAATTCTTGTTTTATCTTGTTAATAAAAAATCCAAATATTTAAATCAAATTTCAAAATTATTGCTGTCAAACAGCTCTATAAACTTTTTAAAAAGTCAGATCTTATGTTTTTAGATAGTTATATTGTCATGTTTTAATTCGAGCATTTATGATGTGTAGACACAGGCTATATTTGTGATATTTTATCATCGACATAGTTTTGAATGAACACTTAGGCACTGTGCTTAGCTGGGACTGTAAATTTAGGAATGAGCCCCACGGTCCAAGACTCACACAAGCTCGGTCATTCACAACCAACATTCAGTGAAAAATAAGAAGATAATCTTCATCATGCCAATTCATTCCAATTATGAATTCCAAAGTGCTGGTTTATACTATTTGAGATTCAGCTGCACATGTGTAGGTTCCTCTTTCAAACAGAAAGCTCTGACTCATTGAAATGAAGTCAAAGGATATTCATAGTAAGTGCTTAATAAGTGGCCACCATTGTAGGGACTATAAAAGATACATAAGATAAGTCTCTGCTCCTAAGGAGCAGACTCCCTCATTAAAGAGAAGCCACAAAAACAAAGAATTAATGAATCATAAAAATAGTGCATAGTCTAATATACTCCAGACTACATATATGATCTACATGTGGAGAAGGGAAGGATGAACACAAACTGATGTAATTTGTGGAGAATGAGTAGAATGTGGATGATCCAAAGGAAGGGCGGAAATGTTCCAAGTAATGGATACAGCATGTGCTAAGAAACATACTCCTCCTACTCGATGGAGACGTGCAAGGCGCATGTGGTGTGTGGGGAGCTGGATTACAGAGGTCCTGAACACTATATAAGGTTGCATCCTTGAACACTGCCATAGTGATTGATGAAAGACATGATATGAGGTAATGAATGTGACGGCATCTCGAAGACCAGCAAGGAGGCCAGGGCTCTGATTCAGGTGGGCATGAAAGGACTCCTCCAGGAGGGCACAGAAGGGAAAATATGATTTGTTTCCATACACGGATGCGTTGTGGGGGGCCATGGATTGGTGTAGCGTGATGGTGACACATCCAAGAGAAATGCCATTTAAAGCGTAGAGGACTGTGAACGTGCCGACAGAGATAGTTGAATAACAAGCTCATATTAGACCTGTTGCATTTCATTTGATATCACAGCCTTGAAGGTTAGAATTTGCCCCACGAGAAATAAGCTCATTTTCCCTCAGAGACAGACGCAAAGAGAGTCTGGGTAAGGCTACAAAGTTTGAGATGAAAATAAGAGAAGTTGAGGTGGCTTATGTCATAATGTTGCTTTTTTTTTCAGTGAAGTAGAAATAAAGGGCTTCTACTGAGAATGAGTACATAAGATTACGGGTTGAAGTTTAGGGAATGCAGAAAAGGCAAGCAAGGAATCCACTAGTACAGGGATTCAAAAACACATAAATAAGATTGGTGTGTAAGCAGAGATGAAAGAGTGTGAATTTGTAGCTGAGTGTGGTATCATGGTTTTGAGAATTTCCCCCAGCATCTTGATAATAACCAAGGACACAGAACTAAGAGTGCAGACAGTAGGAAAAAGTGGTGTAGGATTTTAAGGTAATATCTATATATTATTGACATGGTTGTTCATTTCAAGAAGTCCAAGCTAGGTATGAAAGCAAATCAAAACAGAGTTGCTAGGACGTGGGCTGGGAAGAAGGGAAGCACCAGAGGGCACAACAGAACAAGGAGAAGAGTAGAGGGGACAAGGAAGGAAAATGTTGTGTACCAAAATAATCACTATAAATTCCTGTGTTCGGGGCCGGGCGCAGTGGCTCACGCCTTTAATCCCAGCACTTTGGGAGGCCGAGGCGGGCAGATCATGAGGTCAGGAGATTGAGACCATCCTGGCTAACACGGTGAAACCCCGTATCTATTAAAAATACAAAAAATTAGCCAGGCGTGGTGGCGGGAGCCTGTAGTCCCAGCTACTCGGGAGGCTGAGGCAGGAGAATGGCGTGAACCTGGGAGGTGGAGCTTGCAGTGAGCCAAGATCACGCCACTGCACTCCAGCCTGGGCGACAGGGCAAGACTCCTTCTCAAAAAAAAAAAAAAAAAAAAAAGAATAAATTCCTGTGTTCAAGCTTCATAAGTACAGAAGCCCTGGGTGATTCTGTTACCACAGGTATGGCTGTGCCGAGAGTCACTGAAGTTGGTAGATGACTAAGAAGATGAGAAATTGTGATGCCAGTGAGTTACATGGTCATCACTGTGTGTACTGAAGCCATAAAAAATAGTGACAGAGCCCAGGTTATAGAGAAAGGTGGAGGCTTTAGTGCCACCATAATTGAGGAAGTTGGAGCAGCATCTTGGAAGCTGAGGTGAGGGAGAGAGTGGTTTAGGGAGCTGTCATGGATTCCAGAAGACGATTGTTGACTGGGTAACAATTGTTACAGGGGATCAGTTGCCTTTTGTATAGGACACTTCATGTGCCTCTCTTCATATCCTCTCGAGCCACTGCTTACTGCAGGAATTGCTGCAGCAACCAGCTTCAAATAAGTGTAAGCAGACAGCATCTCAGCTCAACTACACCACTCAGCTCTTGTCTTCTGTTCCAGAGCTTTTCTGTTGATGCACTGATGTGGCACTCACTTATGGGTGATCTAAAAACCAGGAGTTAAGACTGATTGGAACAACACTTGACCAACACTTAGCTGGTGGATAAGCACTCCCCTCTTCCATCCCTTAGGCAAACAATGGAGATGGTTTCTTTAAGGTTCCTCAGAGCATCCTAGATGGATTGCACTTCAGCTGTCCATCACAGTGATCAGTTTGATAACACATCTTTGTATTGGCTTTCCCTCCTACCTGAGTCACTATTCCAATTCCCCACCCTGTGCTCTGGATTGCTTCCTAAAATATCCTATCAGAATGCAAGCCCTTGTTGCAGACCTGCTATCTTGGAGAAACCCAAAACCCATTATCTGTAAATGAAGCCATTGAGCGAGTAATAAGGAAGGTTTCATGGTCAAGTAAAAGCTAACTTTCAGTTAAGTAGAGGAGAAAGGAGCCCTGAAAGAGAGGAGGTTTTTACAGAACACAAGTGTCAGATGAATCCTCCTGGAATGGGTGGAAGGTCAGAGCAAGAGCAGGGCTGACACAGACGAAAGCGTAAGAGGAAAAAGAGAAAGGTGAAATATGAATTGTGTATATTAAATAGGCCCCTCTGCATCAGAAAATAAATGTACTAATAACCATGATGGGCACGTTTTAGACAGTTGTATTTATTGCTGTAGCTTTGTATTTGCCTTCATTTGTTCCACCCCAGGCAGGACATCAGACAGTCTCGCCTTGCTGCGTATCTCCCTTTCTTGCCAACATGCTGATGTCATCCTGTATCTAGACCTTAACATCACTTAGAGTCACATTCGTGTCTTTTGTCTTTTTCTTGGTGTCTAATTTACTATAGTTTTACTGAACTTGCTTTTTCCAAATGGGATACATGGTCAATTCATCTAAGAAAAAGTACCAAGAAACAAAACATAAGTATCCACAATAATACCATGTAGTATCCACTGGGGAAACTTTTTAAATATACATTTATATATAATTATACAATTTTTAAAAATACTGTGTATTTTTTAAACACATGCAATCCTGACAGAATAATACATTCCCCTGGGAAAATTTTTTTGAATATCACCACCAAATTTTAACCATATATCTTGAACTTTCAAATTTTGAACCAAGAAATCAAGTTATTTTGAGTCCTATTTATTCTGAGCTGAAGATCGTCACTTTTAGACATTTTGGTTTAAAATTTTAGGTCATCAGAGGCATTGGTAATGAGTTATAAGCAAAAAACTGTCTGTTACTACTTCCTGAATCTGCTGAGTCACAAGCCATATATATACACTGGTCCTGTGAAACCTATATCAGCCTGCAGGCCTGGAAGAGGGCCCCACATGTTCAATATTCAACCGAACCTTGAATTGTCATTGCTTAGAAATAATTCACAAAGGAGACACATTTGGTTTGGAATAATAGAAAACTGACATCAAGAGTCATTAGCTCTCTATCTCCTGCCAGTCTTTAACACAACTGTTTAGGTTTTTTTCTCCTGTACTGCTCACCCTAGCCTTAAGCCATTTATGTTTAGTGTTCCATTATTGGAACGCTAAGCTTGTAGGAGTTATTTATATCCTACTCTTCAAGGTCACAGCCAAGGTCTGATTTTTCACACAAATTTTCACAACTTGCAGCATAAATTGGTTAAACGTCTTCCTAGATGAGACTTTATGAAGTTATTCCACACGGTAATGTTACTGATAAAACCGATTTACATTTGTAGGTCTCGTGCCTATAGGAATACCAGGTCTGGTCTTTCTAATGGAAAGCAAGGTTTTGATTTCTCATTTCCATCACCCCCTCCTCTTACCTGCCCACATTTATGTACACAGAATCATCTCACTTTCATAGTCATGGCTTAATTAGTACACACAGCTTTTAGACGTCATCTCCTTTACTTGGGTTCTATCAATTATTTCTGCTATTCATTTTTTTTTAATTCCTCCTCCTTTATCTCTTACCTCTCATTGATGAGGTTTTAGCAGATATTTTTTTCTTAAAGATAATTCATCACTCCATCATCACAGCTAGTGGTGTCAGTTTAAGTCATGAATTTCAAAGCGCAAGTCAACAAAATGTAATCCTAACCATCCAACAGGCTCTAATTCTCAGAAACAGTTTTGTTTGGGGTCCTCCATCCATTCTTGAATAGCTAAGCTCTCCAAAAGCTACTTGGTCATAACAATGCTAATTATCAAGATTAAAATGTATTTATTAAGCATGTATGCCTAAGCCATATATAGAACAAGTTACTTTACTGCTCTGTCACTAGGAGGTAGAAATCTAAGATTGTCCATGAATAGCTAGTTGGAGGGAAACAGTAATTTACTAACATTTATTTATGTGAAATGTGTAATGTAGTAGACTTGGGCTGTTTTCCATGGCCAACATATTGACTTTTTTGTTAGGAGGGTGGAATCACCCCTACTCCATAGTCAATTCATGGGATGTGTTCCAATTCATTGGAACCATCCATTCCCCACACCTCCCAAACCACACAAACATATGCTCACACACACTTACATACATACTCACTCATCTGGGGGCTGGAGGAGGAGGAGTTTGACTCTGGCCTGGCCATTCAGAGCATTCTACCCACTGGCCGTGGAAATTGTCTTTGGGATTGGGGTGTGATACAATTTAGTCCAATGGGAACTCAGTAGTAGGAGTGTTGTCTTTCCAATGAAGTCCTGAGAAGATGTTATAAAAACATAGAACCACTGGTGGCTGTCTTGCCACCTCTTGGAGTCTGCCTAAAAGAAGCAACATAGAGGAAAACAAATCCAGAAGATGGACAGAGAAATCAAGACCTGATGACATCCTCCAAAAGCTAGCAGATGGTTATATTTTATTGAAGCCAGTTCTACCCCCATACTTTCCAGTTATATGAGTCAATATATGTCCGTTTTTGTTTAAACCAGTTTGATTTGGATACCTGTCACTTTCAAGTGAAAAAGTCCTTACTAATGTATGTAGCTGGCCAAATAATAAGTTTTACCAGCGTTTTGTATCAAATCTTTAGCATTTGAGGGCTTCTTAATGTGAAAACTATATATCAGTCACTTCGGATTACCTGTGGTGCTTACAAAATGCATATTCTTATGCTATAACCCTTATATCTCATCAGAATCTGTAAAGGTGAGGCTCAGGGCCCTCACATTTGACAAGCTACTTCTGGTGATTTTATGCATACTACAACTTGAAAACCACTGCAGACGTCATGACTATAGCAACTCAGATCGAGTAGTTTTTTTTTAAACAAAGTGACCTGTAAGTTCAAACAAGAATTCTTTTCAAATAATTGATCATCAGATTTTTAAATGTCAGCATTGAGGTAGATAGAAAACAAACTAAACACTCAAGGGCGTATGTGAAGGAACTGTAGTGGGACTTACATATTTAAATAACTGCAGAAATTCCTGACTACATTTTACCTGTAATCTAAGTGGCCGTTAGGAGAAACAGACTTCTACTAGATACAAGGCTCAGGAACGCTGGCAGATAAGGTAGGAGGGAAAAATTAAGTTTACCTTTAAAAGATACCAGAATCAAGGGAGACCGCAGAGGAGACAAACGACCATGCTGTGCCTTTGTTCTTTCCAATGTTGAATAAACTACACCTCTCCAATGTGGCATGAATTTCCCACACGTGAATAATTAATCTCCCAAAGAGCATCAGTACAAGAAAATATCCTTCCTTTTTGAGGACCCCATGGATCCTTCCGCTTCTCTGGATGTTTTCTGTTACATTTCAATACAGATGTGTTTAATTAGCTCAGTTTTGGGATCAGACATTTTGAAACTCAAGGAATTCACTTTCAAACCAGTGTCGGAGGAAATGGAATATGTGGAGCAAAATCAACATGACTCTTGTCAGCGAGTCAATAGATAAATATATTGTGATATATACTGAGCAAAAAACAAGAGAAACAACTATACTGATGAATCTAAAAAAAGCAGGCTAAGTAAAATAATCCAAACACAATAGAGTACATAAAGTATGAGTCCTATATGAAATTCTGGGAAGGTCAAAATTACAGTGAGAGAAAGCAGGTCACTGGTTACTTGGATCTGGGAGTCAGGAGAAGGCATCCACCATAAAGAGGCACAAGGGAACATTTTAAAGGAATGGGATTGTTCCATCTCTTGATTGGGGAGGTGGTTTCATGACTACATATAATTATGAAAATGTATTAAATTATATACCTCGAGTGAGTGAATTGTATTATATGTGTAAATCACACTTCATGAAAAGTATTAATAAAAAGTGAAATTTAGATGGAGTAAGAAAAGACTTTTTTTTTTTTGGAGACAGAGTCTCACTCTGTCACCCAGGCTGGAGTGCAGTAGTGCCATCTCGGCTCGCTGCAACCTCCACCACCCTGGTTCAAGCGATTCTCGCGGCTCACTGCAGCCTCCGCCACCTGGGTTCAAGCAATTCTCCCACCTCAGCCTCCAGAGTTGCTGGGATTACAGGAGCCTGCCACCATGCCTGGCAAATTTTTGTAGTTTTTAGTAGAGACGGGGTTTCATCAGGCTGATCTTAAACTCCTGACCTCGTGATTTACCCGCCTTGGCCTCCCACCGTACCTGGCCAGAGAACAGAGTAGGACACAAGGAACAGTCTGCAGAGGCATGGGCTGTAGTTTGGGGAAATGGTCTAGGGCCTGGAGATTTGGGCAGGTCCCAGCAAAGGAAACACCTTGGCAACTTAATGGAGAAGAAGGGGAAACTCTTCTCCTGGGGTGGCAGCTTCTTCACTTTGCTTTGTCTTATGTTGCTTGTTGGCTTCAGTGCCACACTGATCAGAGCTAGAGGAAGCCCAAAGCTCTACCTGAAGGTGATTAAGATCTTTGGAATTTGCTTACTGATAGGAACGTAGTAACATAGGAGGTATGGACCAGGAAGGGTTGAAGTAGACGACGATAACATGCAGACTGGCATCCCGGTGTGGGCATGTGTGGTGTTCAGCTAAGGGATGTACTGGGAAGGAAGAGAATACTTTCCAGTCTAAAGGACATTCGTCTAGAGACCAATGGCCTCTTTTGCAGGCTAGTCTCCTTGGAATTATTCTAATGATGTTAACAGATTATTTGATCTAGAAGCAAGTTACAAGCTACTAAATGATGTTAGAAGCAAGTTCCAAGCCGCGAAAGAATGCTAGTAAACATTGATTGAGTTACAAAGTATATCTCTGGGAAAAAAAAAAAAAACTTAGTAAAAGATACAGAAAATTGCTTCTGAAAAATTGAGGGCATTTAACAAGCAAGCTTGATTACAGCAGCTTTACCCCAGACCTCTCCAATGAGAATGGAAGCTATTTTTTTTAGATACTTTCCCATAAATATCCTGTCTGCATGCAGAGAACGAGGACAGTTGAATTCTGTCCATTTCATGAACCCCTTAAAAATAATAGGGTATCCCCATCAGTAGTGTTTTATGAGTTAGACAATAGATTTGGGTTGCCAAGTGGGATAACTTTTTATTTAAACCCAAATTTTCTTATTCACTCATGTGCTGTCATAAAGCAAATGAAATTTGGCTCTTAAAAAAAGTGGTAACTCATGTAAAGAAACAATTAGAGGGAATATTAAAAATCCATAAATCATATTCAATTTATAAAAAGCTCTTAGTGCCAATAAATAAGTCATGTCCTTATCTAGACACATTCAAACTGGGCATCCATTAAAAAAGCCCAAGGAAATGAAAAGTTCAAACGGAAGAAGAATCACCAGATGAATTACTTCATCCTAAATGTTGCAATTGGCTTCTTTTACAGGAACAATTTTTTTTCCAGAGATGATGCAGAACCTCATCAATCTAGCTCTTTACCCTTGGCGGATACTTGTCGTTCTATATGCACATATTTTTTTTTTCTCTTTGGCTTCAAGCACAAAACAGGGTATCATTGTGATCCAGGATTTGTTTGAAGAGATTTCATCTGGAAAGAAGTCAAACAGGGCACTAGCAGGGGAGCTTTTACAGATTATGACCTGTAATCTGGTTAATACTCTGAAACACAAAGATCCGAATGTTGGGATAAGACTACTTCATACGTGGCCATGTGCCCCACCTCCCCCAGCCCCTAGGAAGTCATCCCCGAGACTGACAGGAAGCCAGCTCGGGCATGCTGGCAGGCTAAAAGGAACGATAATGTAAATATAATGGCATATATTCCAAATCTTGCATAGGATAATCATCTAATAATAGGATTCACTTATTCTGCTGTTTTTGCCATAGGGATCAATTTCCTTTTTGGTTTAAGGACTTTACACCATATCCGTGGTCCTTGATAAAGAGAGGGTGTTGGGTTTGAGTGTAAGGCTTTATTTCCATTCAGATATTTGGACTAAACCTTCAAGTTTTACTTTTTAACTAAAAGGTTATGTAAAACCAGTGTTTAACTTTACATATCCATTTGGAGACCAGTAAATTTTAATTCATCCTCTTTTAGGAACCATCTGCTGAAAGTAAATCTTCATAACGTCTAAGTTAAATTGTGAATATGTTTTCCTTTATTTAAATGCAAAGAAGTTTCTATAAGACACTAAATGATATATTTTTTCTCAATCCAAAATAAAAGATTAAAGTTTGTTTCCCAAGTCAAACTTGAGGGATTTTTAGGTGATTTGGCTTACAAACAGCCCAATAAAGGCCATTTTAAAGTCCTAGGACATTATTTCTGTTTTGAAAATGAGAACTGCTCATGAGAGACTAAATCTCAGAAACTCTTCTTTTGTGCAAATCCATCTTCCAACATATTCACATGTATCCCCGTGCCCTGTGATCATGGTGATTAGGCATCCCAACAGTGATTCTCCAAGAAATAAATACTTAACAATTTACATGCAGAAAAAGTTATCAGAGGAAGCAAACCCCAAACCCCTGGTTCCTGGGCACCATTTCTTCATTTCTTAGTCATAATGGAAAGTGACCCATTCAGAGGAATACTTTATCTAACAAACATAATAACAGAGTCACTGGACCTCGAAAATATTGATCCACCTGCTCTGTGAAGGAGTTGTTGTCCTCTGAGTCTGTTCCCTTTAAAGCTGATGCCACTGAGGCAGAGAGATGTGTGAGATGCTGGAGTGCTTGTGGCTCTTGGAATATTATTAGAGCTCCTAAAGGTGTACATCAACCACGTACCCACAAAAATTTTTAAATAAAAAAAATTAGATCTCCTGATTCACTGTCAGTGAAGTTTTTGCAGACCAGTTGGGGAACTGAGCCGCATTCCTAAAAACACTGTCAGGGAAAGAGTAAATACTACATTTCAGACACCTTACATATATACTGACTCTCGGAAGTGGCCCACTTGTAAATCAGAAGTATCCAGGATTATTCTTCTGAGGTCAATCATTTTTCAGTTTGGTTGAGAAACAGAAGTTAGGCTGAAACTGAAGTTAGGCTGAGTAATTTCTGCAACAGTTTCAGAGACCAAAATGAGGAGAAATTCGCAGACATGTCTAGTCTACAGATTATTCACCTCATTCATCCTGCAGATTGTTATTTTGTTTATATATAGACTTACTTGTTTAAAAAAATGAGCCAAAGCATTGCTCCAAGTGAAATTTTAAATGTGAACATTAAAAAAAAAATCCTTTTGGGTAGGCAGGACAGTAGATTTTAACGGAGTTCTTCTATGACTCAATGGAAAGAATCAGTTCTAACACTACTGTCACCATCCCAGTGTTCAGATAAACATCATTTTAAACTTCATGTTTTGCACATCTTGTACTTGTAGAGAAGAAAAAGGAAATGGAAAAGGGAGCTTCAATCTGAAGGTGTGTGGCTGACTTTGGCACTTAGGAAGTTTCTCTGCTCTATTTTCTCTGTTTATGAATGCTGCTTCTCGATGTATTTTTACACTGAACATTTTAAAAACAGATTTATTTTAATAGAGAAACAACAGAAAAAATTTAAGACACCATTAATACACTTCCGGGATAGAGCAAAGTGTTCATGCAAAATGAACATACATTAGAGGAAATGTAACCTTTCTCAGGATGGACTTCCCACATAAATCCTCCCCTTTCTCCGGAGGCTGTGCGACAAATATCTTGGCTGTCAAGTCAGAAAGCTTTTGATATGGGTCCCGAGGCAAATTACATATTTTTATACCATTTTTCTCATTTCTAAAATGAGGATAACACCACCTTCGTACTCTACAACACAGTGAAAACTGAAAATTAAAAATAAATAATAAGTAGTTCCAATTTTTTAGAGGTATGCTCTAAAAGATCAGTCTTTAAATTCAAAGACCACAGGACCATTTGACTGTAACTTTTAAATGCCTGAGCAGGTGAGTTCTAGTTCTTTTGAATATCCAAAGCATTTTCCCTCCTTTCTTTTAATCAATAAGCTTATTAATTTTGGAGATTTACTCTGTTCTCACAAGCCTATGATGCACTTCTACATACATTATTTCATTTGCTCCTCAACGCAGCTCCGTGAGGTAGACCTGACTTTTTTTTCAGTGAAGAACTGAAGGACAGAGAAGCTACTATCTTGACCGAAACTTATAACCTGGCGGCAGTGGTGGTCAGCCTTGAACCTAGGTCTGTGAGGTCAAATTGTCATGCAGTTAGTGCAATCTCCTGGCCGGACACAGCCATTTCATCATTAGGAAGAAGGCGGCCATGCTTTTCTTTATCCCTCTCACTTCCAGAGCCACATTAAAACCCACCAGAATAATGGGATGAGTTTTCCGGAAGGGGGAAGTGTACATGGATATATCACAAACAGAACAGAGATTCCATACAGGAAGCCCTGGAGTTTTACAAAGCTCGACTAAGAATTGCTAGTCATTCCTCTGTTACCTTATTTGTTCCAAACATTTTTTTTCAGACAATCAAATGGGGGATGGGAGCAGGAGGGAATGAGCAAGAAAGAAATGCCAGTAATCACGGTGAATAACAGTCGTAGGGGTGAAGTGACAGCTCAAGGTTTTACTGTTGTCATAAAAGTGGTGCAGTTTTAGAGCTTTAAGATGAGCAAATCTCTGGGGTCTATGTCCACCGTGGTTCTAATAGCATTAGAAAGGGGGAGTTGGTATAAACAATAACAAGATTTATGTTAGTGCAAACTGCTGACTATTGACTCTGATTCTGAAGAGAGGAGAAAAGAGAAAGCGAAACTAAACCAGATTCCTGTTATGTCCCTATTTATGGGAAAGTGAGAAACTTGACCGATTCTAGTGGACATTAACAACGGGAAGGCAAGCAACGGAGTCTAATGCCTTAAGATTATAGTCAGTAGAAATAAAATGGAAAAAGAGGACAATAAAAAAAGCTGTGGTGTGACTGTTTTGAACTGAAAGTTTCTAACCACAGAAAGGAGCTGACCAAAAGTAGCTGGACTAGGACAGTTGTATGCCCAGAGGAACAGAGATTTTGAAATCCTACTTTGTGGAACAGAACACCTAACCAAAACTGGCTACCAGTAGAAAATAAAGCCCCAAACAGTCTTTCCTGCTGACGTGTCTTTTAGTTTGTAAAATGTTTTTGAAACGGAAGACTTAGGATTCGCCTTCACTACCTGGACTTGACTTTTATGCCAAATTAACATATAAAGATGTCATCTCCCTCCCTTTTTTGTCAACAAAAAGGAGACAGAACCAGGCTCTTCTCCTCTTTACAGTTCATTATCTATTACGAGAGGTACTTTTCTACCCCGAGGAAACTTCCCATTGGGTTTATGATTATTATTGAACTATCACAAACATTTTGGCTTCATCAGTTTATATTAACAATCTCATTAGCTCAGATAGATATTTTCAGCAACAAAAAAATGACCCTTATTGTATTATTTTAGGTGGGAAGTCCATCTTTTTAAAAACAACCACATTATTATAAAAACAAATATGTAGGAAAGAAGTCTTTGGCCACAGGAGGGAACTTAACCAAAGTTCCATTGACAGATCTTAGTACAGTAAAAAAGAATTCAAGCTTAAGACAGAGAACTGAAAATTGAGCACAAGATCTGCTCCCATAATCTGGGAATTTTATGACCTCCCTAAAGGAAAGAGTATGTGGTCTGTTAAATCTGATAATAAAATATCTCCTTGAGGCCTTCAAATGTAATGTGTCGGATGCTCAATCCATTCGGTACAGGCCAATTGGACAGCTGTCAGCCCCCCCAATTCCAGGGTAGTCCTTCTGGTGTTATTGCCACAGTATACAGCCTTCAGAAAAAGGATGCAAACTATAAAGCCAATGAAATATTACAAATATTAGGATAGAAATATTCGTTCATTATATATTTATTAAATGTAACTGAATATTATACCTATATATCTACTTTTCTATATAGGACCTGGAAAGATAGAAATTAAATTTTTAAGTGGTTATCTATGGAGTGTGACATTGGTAAGCAGTCTTTATTTTTTATTTTGTGTATTACTGTATTGATTTTTTTTACAGTGAGAATTTATTAATTTAGCAATTTAAAAAAGCCAAGACAGTTTTTCTTTCCTAAAGAACATATTAGGTAATAGGAGACCAAAAAAAAAAAAAAAAATCTGGTTGTCTCAGACAAGCTCAGTGCACAGTTAAAACTAATTATTTTGGGGTGATCTTGTGGCTAAGAAATCATGATGTGAGAAAGATTATTTTTATATTTACTAGAACATCTCTATAAATTCACTACTTTGTCCTAATTTTTATTGTCTTTGAGATTCATTTAGATTCGAGTAGTTAGCAATTATTTCTGCCTCAGGAGGATAAATTATTACCCTAGGTAAAGCAAGTCAGAACCATTACTAAGGGTTCATCTCAACCAAAGAACATGTTAGAGTACCAATTCTAGAGATGCATGTTGTAAAAAGATCACTCTGATGGTTTGAGATTGGAAGCTCATCATCAAGAAGTAGAATAATAGCAAGACCATAGCTTTTGTGCAAGATCATGATCAACACTAAGCTACTTAGAAAACTGGAGTATTTGGGGCCTGGAGCCCTCTGTATCCTGACATGTGCAGTCTCACACTGAACAAAGCAGGTGTTTAAATACACAAATTTCCTGTGAGAATGGAGACAAATAACCAGAGTGCAGTTAGATTTGTTTGTTTGGCAATATTTTTTAAATATGTAGTAGAAACAAAGGATCTAGTGCTGAGGTGCTGAGGTGAGGAAAGGAGAAGGGGAATAAAGGGTGAGAGGTAAGGGGGTGCTTAAAGTTGTTCCAACCAATTTCATAAATCAAGCCACTGAGGAAGGTATAAGAAGTGAAGACCAAGTTCATGAAAGCCCAGAAACTGAGGATTTGCGTGTGAGACGTACTCTCTAAAACAACTGAACAAGGAGAAAAAGGGCGAGAAAGAAATACTTCATAAAGCCAAGCCTAAACTAATGCTTTTTGCCCTACACCTTCACATTTACACTTAACCTAAAAAGATTAAAATATCATAATAATTCTGAGATTCCTGGCTCTCAAGATTTCCATTATGACACATCAATAAAGCAAGGCAAGGTGACTGAGAAAGAGCGGCCGGCTTTCATTTCCTGCTCATTTGAAGGTCACTTTTGGAGATAAAGATTATATTTTTGCAGAACCAGAGGATACACGAACATTTCCAGGAACTTGTAACATCAGATGTTCTGAACGAGCAAAGGAAAATGAATGATCCTATTAAGATACTTCTGACCATAAATCAGAGGTGTTAAGCTCTGACTGGCTAACTTCAGCTTCCCATTTGACTCATTTGAAAATGGAACTGATGTGAATGTAGATTGGAGGAAGATGCTCAATGCCATTAGAAGTGGCTCATAAGCTGCTCCTCACGGATCTCAGATTGAAATACAGTGTGCCTAGCACCCGGGGACAAATATTTGCATCGTATCATTGTTAAGTGACTCTGTCCGAGTAGCAGAAAAATGGGTGTCATGCCTGCAATACAAAAGAATTGGTTGTGTTAAAACATACAGGCCTGCAGGGAAGGGTGGTGAGCAAATTACTAATGCCTGGCACTTGGAAAGGGTGATTGCGTTTTTGAGGTTTTTAATAAGGGATTTTTTTACCCCTCTCCTATTTGCACAAGCATCTATTTCTCCCTATGCTCTGATGTCACAAAATTTGCTTGCTCTAATATTCGTGATATTTTGCTTTGACCCTCTAAGGGAGCAATTCTTCAGCAAGGGATATGTGGACTCATTTTCTGCCATTTGTTCTGAGTTCTTAGTATCCAGGGACTTGTTCCTAGGTAGCTTGGTGAAGTTCTGCCACTCACTCACAGGCAAGTGACTTAACCTTTCAGAGCCCCAGTTTTCCCATCTGCAAAATGAAGCTTAAAAAATTCTCATCCCAGAGCGGTGCTTTGAGGCATAGAATTGGATTTGTTAAGGAAAAAAAAACCTGGCACTTAATAAATGGCCAACGAATGTTATCTTTCTTCTACTACAAAGGTGCCATGTGGGTAAAGATGAACTCCTTGACAACAAAACCCCCAACAATTAAGTGATCAAAGAATTATTTTTCCTTGCTGAAAACATTGAATGCATTACCTTTGCTTTTCCAGGGCTCCATGCAGTGTCGGACACACAATAGCTACTCAATAATGTTTGTCTCATAACTGTTGTTTAAATGACCCCTATCAATGCAAACAGATCAGCCATTTCAATGGTCAACTGAGGGGGAAAGAAGCTATCAGAACAGCTGAAGAAACGTTGTCGGCGAGCATCTGTGATTGAGGCGAGTGTTGGGGAACTTGGTGAGGGCCTCTGAAAGCCTCTCTTCTGAACCATGTGTGATCGCCATGCCACGTGCCGCTAATCAACACAATGCACAGGGCAGAACATTAGAAACAGCTGTTTAAGGATTTAACAAATATCGCTTATCCTTAAATGTGCCATGGTGAAATACATATATACTAGTCCCTGCAAAGAACAGAGCAGAGACACCCAGCCATGATCTTTAAAATAAACCAAATGGTATCTTACATATTCTAATATAACTACCACAGGCATTACAATTAGGAAAGTCACATAGGAAGGCAATTAAATGATTAATTATTGAAAAAACACCCTAAGAGCTAAATAATGACTCAATCTCTAAATTATAATTTTATCATCTGGGCAGTTTCTTATCCTGCAAGTTGTTGAGAAATAGTGCTAAATATTTTTCATACTTAGAGTTTGATTTATGAACTATAGTCCTTTAATACCGACACACCTTAAAGAAAAAAGAAAACATATTGAAGGAAAATTCTATCTTTCTTAATAAAGGATTTTTTGACAAGTCTATTAAATTCTAAAAGAAATACGTCAGATTAAGTCGGACCTCACTGAAAACCCGCAGCACATCTGAACTGATATTTTTTTTTTTCAGTAAATAAATGATCAAAATGCTATGTTATACATGCCAGAATTTCTGTTTCTATCCCCTAAGAAATTCCTGAAGAGGAAACTCTAATTTTGTTTTGACGTGTTTTTGGTGCTTGTGGGGATGACTTTTGCACCCAGGTACAAATACTGTAGTTTGTAAGTCTTTGAAAGTTATTTGTTTCTTCATTCAGTCACATGCCAAGGTTTTCTTTCTCTCTTTTCACAAGACTAAGTTTTCTTCATTCAAGTTGGAAAATTAAACTAAAATAATTAAAATATTAAATATTTCTCATAAATTCTGAAATTATTCACTAAAGTTGTTGGGTATAGATGTTAGAAGCAAGAAAATATTTGACAACTAAGCTTGTCAATTTACCATCTGTGAAAGTATTTTCAAGGTCTTTCAAACTTCACCCAAAAAAACAGAATATCATTTCTCATCTTTATTATGTAGTATATACTTGATCACATACTCCCAGTATGTTCATACATTCCTCTGAATGTATGAATTCATATTCACACCTTGATTTTTTCATTTGTGTTCATTGTGCAAAATTTTGTTGTTCTCCTATTATGCCCTAAGCTCTGGATATAATTATGAACAAACGCCCCAATACTCACTGCCTTCGTGGGATTGACGATCTAACATGGGAGAGAGATGTTAATAAAAAATCATAGAAGATAAATAATTACACACCATGGTACATGCTCTGGGGAAAATGCGTTAGGTGTGATGAGAGCAAAGAACAGGGGATCTGACCTGGTTTGGTGGTTACAGGAAGACTTCCATGAGAAGGAGAGTTGGGTTGAGGTATGAAGATTACTGATCAGTCATTAATGATGGAAAAAGCTGGAAAAGAAATGAAGTTGACTGACCTAGTTTCAAAAATTGGGAAGAATCATTCTACTTCGAAGTAAGTAGAAACAAGACCAGTGTAGCTGGAGACTTTGAAGCAGTAATTCCCAACCCTGGCTGCACTTGGGAGTTTTTAAAAAAACGCAGACACCTGGGCCCCATCCCCTGAGATTTAGGTATAATCATTAGGGGATGAGGCATGACTCTGGTATTGTTTTAAAAGTTCCCAGCTGAATCCAATGCATAGCCAAAATTCAGAACTGCTGCCTTAGAGTTAGAGGGAGAGTGGCAAACAAAAAGCTTGGGGTTAGACCGTGTAAAATCTTGAGCGCCTCATCAAAGTTTTTGGTCTTTATGCTAAGAGCAAGGAGAAGCCTTTGAAAGAGAATGTAAACAATGAATATGCAAATATGATGGTGGCTGAGACAGCAAATGGCTATAATAATGAGAAAATCACTAGTTTTAGTGACCTGGATACATACACTCATTCATTCATGTGCTCATTTCTTTTTTCCCTATGGAAGAATAGTTTATTGAGATATTATTTTGTGTTTTTCCTCCTGTATTTTTTTTGTCTCTTGAGATGGAGTTTCACTCTTGTTGCCCAGGCTGGAGTGCGATGGTGGGATCTTGATTCACTAACCTCCACCTCCCAGGTTCAAGTGATTCTCCTGCCTCAGCCTCTTGAGTAGCTGGGATTACAGGCGCCCTCCACCACACCTGGCTAATTTTTTTGTGTGTGTGTATTTTTAGTAGAACTCCTGGCCTCAGGTGTTCCTCCTGCCTTGGCCTCCCAAAGTGCTGGGATTACAGGCATGAGCCACCGTGCCTGGCCTTTTCCTCCTGTATTTTTAAATTCCTAACCTCCACTAGCAGGTAACTTCTTGTGTCAAAGTTGCTTGAAGTAAATGCTCTTCTGGCCAGGCTCGGTGGCTCATGCCTGTAATCCCAACACTTTGGGAGGCCGAGGCAGGAGAATCTCTTGAGCCCAGGAGTTCAAGACCAGCCTGGGCAACATATTAAGACCTTGTTTCTACAAAAAAATACAAAATCGTTAACTGGTTGTGGTGGCGGGCACCTGTGGTCCCAGCTACTTGGGAGGGTGAGGCAGAAGGGATTTCTTGAGCCCAGGGGCAAAAGTCTACAGTGAGCCATGATCATGCCACTGCACTCCAGCCAGGGTGACAGAGCAGGACTCTGTCTCCCCTGTCTCAATAACAAACAAACAAACAAACAAAAACTGCTCCTCATGTTTTTTTAAAGAAATTATTTTATTATTTTATCCTAGAGTATAAAGGAGGAAACGGCAGTGCCTGCAAAGATTAGGGTCAGCTGGGGTCGGAGCAGGTAGAAGACCTCATGGGAGAGTAAAATGATGTTACAGTGGTGTTTTGGGGGTCCCACAGCTGAAGAATTTAAGAGATGGTTAACAGTTGGTAAGGATACCTTCCCAGAATCCACCCCCTCACCCCCCCCATGAACAACCAATGTTGATTAACATTCTATTTCTCACTATCCATGTGAGAAATACAGTGATAGTGAGATAGTGAGGGTGTGGATTTAAGGTTCCGTTTAACTTGATTTAAAGAAAATGAAGATATGTGACATGCCTTATATACTAAAGTTGTGGTTGTAGATTCACAACCTTTATATCACATTGAGCCATATACAGTAAGCACCAAATACATGACCGTCATCATGCTAGAGCCTGGGAACAGACCAGTGTGCAAGATAGACCCTGGTTACAGCTTATAGCACAGTGAGAAAGACAGACTGGAAATAAAATAATTGTTCTGTAAAGAAAAATACTAGGAAAGAAATTTGCAGGGATGGTAAATGTGCAAGGAGAGTCTATGGAACTCTATTCCACTGATCTATTTTTCTATCTTTACAACAGTGTGACACTATCTTGATTAGTGTAGCTTAATAATAAGTCTTGAAGTCAGTAAAAATTCAACTTTGTTCTTTATCAATATTGTTTTACTTGTTCTAGGTTTTTATCAAATCTATATAGAATCAGCTTGTCAATTTCTGAAAGAAAATCCCAATGGTATTTTTATTGAAATTATGTTTTATTGGGATTATATTATAGAGTAAACTTGCGGGGAACAAATGCCTTGCCAATGTTGAATCTTCTGATCCATTAACATAGTAAATATCTCCGTTTACTTAGGTCGTTTTAAAAATTCAGCAATTTTTTAATGTTCTAAATGTACAATTCTTGTACTCACATTTGTCGAATTTATACCTAAATATTTTATTTTATGATGCTATTGTAAGTGGTATTTTTCAGTTTTAATTTCTAATCATTTGTTGCTGGTATGTAGAAATGCAATTGATTTTTATATATTTATCCTACAGCCTTGCTAAATTTGTTCAAGTAGCTTTTTTGCAGATTTGTTGACAGTTTTATATTTCTTTTCTAATCCGTGTGCCATTTTATTTCTCACCTTATTGTATTGGCCAAGACCTCCAGTACAATACTGAAAAGAAGTGACTGGAATTGTAGGTCTTTGCCCTTTGTCAGATTAAGGAAGTTCCCTTATATTCATAGCTTGCCGAGAGTTTTTAACACAAATGGAAGTTGAATGTTGTCACATGCTTTCTCTGTGTCTATTAGAATGGTCATACAATTTATTCTATTAATTTGTTGAATCATCTTAATTTATTTTCAAATATTAAACTAAGCTTTGAATTCCCAAGATACTTCACTTAGTCATTTTATATTATCCTTTTCATATATTGCTGAATTTGACTGCTACAATTTTGTTAAGAATTTTTTTTTGTTTACATTCATGAGGAATATTGACCAAGAACTTTATTATAATATCTTTGTGTGGTTTTGATATGAGGGTAATGATGACCTCATAAGATGTGTGGGAGAGTTTTCTTACTCTTATATCTTCTGAAAGAATAGGTGTATATTGGTATTATTTCTTTCTTATATACAGGTCATCTATTTTTTCTTCAGTGAGTTTTGAGCATTTGTGTCTTTCAAGAAATGTATCTATTTCATCTATGTTTTCATCTGAGCTTTATTGGCATAAAGCTACTTATACTATTCCTTTATTATATTTTAAAGTAGTATGTGTAGTGATATTTTCTTTTTTCTTTTCTTTTCTTTCTTTTTTTTTTTTAAAACCTCATAAGGTCTCACTCTGTCACCTAAGCTGGAGTGCAGTGGCATGGTCACAGCTCACTGCAGCCTCGACCTCCCAGGCTGAGGTGATTCTCCAACCTCAGCCTCTTTAGTAGCTGGGGCTACAGGTGGGCCCAGCTAATTTTTGGGTTTTCTTGTAGAGACAGGGTCTTGCCATGTTGTCCAGGCTGATCTCAAACTCAGGCTCAAGCGATCCACCTATATGAGCCTCCTAAAGTGCTGGGATTACAAGCCTGAGCCACCATGCCCAGCCAATATTTCCATTTTCATTCTTTTTGTGGGTAATTTATGTTTCTTTTTTCTTGATATTTTTACTAGCAGTTTATCACTTTAATTTTTTTCCAAAGGACCAACTTATGATTCAATTAATATTTTTATTATTTTGTTTTCTATTATGTGGAGTATTGTTTTCTATTGTATCTTTTCTTCTGCTTACTTTAAGTTAATATGTTCTTCCTTTCTTAGTTTCTTAAGGGGGAAATTTAGATTATCCTCGTGAATCCCTTCTTCTTTCCTAATATTAGTATTTAAATTTATAAATGTTCCTCCCCTCATTGATTTAATGGCATCTGACAAATTTTGATATGTTGTCTTTTCCTTTTCATTCAATTAAAAGTATTTTCTAATTTCCCTTCAGCTTTGTAATTCAACTCATGGGCTATGTAGAATTGTTCAATTACAAATATTTGGGAATTCTCTATACGTCTTTTTGTTAACTTTAATTCTATAGCCATTATAAGGCATAGTTTTTATTATTTAAAATATCTTAAATTATTAAAACTGGTTTATGGCCCAGAATATATTCTATTTTGGTGAATGTTTCATATGTACTTGAAAAGATTGTGCATTCTGCTATTACTGGACAAAATGTTCTATCAATTTATTACATCAAGTTGGTGATAGTATTGTTCAAATCTTCTGTATCCTTTTGATTTTTATCTGCTTATTTTATCAAATATTGTAAGAGAATGTTTAAAGTCTCCAACTCTAATTGTGGACTTTTTTATTTTACTTTTCAGTCCATATATTTTTTTTTTTGCTTCATGTGCTTGAAACTCATTTATTACCAACTCAAATATTTATCATTATAAAATACCCCCACTTATTCCTGATAATATTTATTATTCTGAAATCCACTTATTCAATATTAACAAATTACAGATTTGTTTAGCCTTTTCATAGTATTTGTTTTTTTCCATCTTTTTAGTTTTGGTCCATCTTTTTTTTCAATATTTAAAGTGAGTTTCTTATAGACATCAACTAGTTTGGTCTTTCTTTTTCATCCAATCTAAAATTTGCTGCCCTCTAATTGGTTGTTTAGACCATTTATATTTAATGTGATTATTGATGTGATAATTGACATTATTGGTTTTAGATTTATCATTTTGCTATTTATTTTCTATTTGTCTCATCTCATCTCCTAGTATCTCTCTGCCTGTTAACATGCCTTAGACCTCTGGAGCTCACAGTTTTAATTCCACTTTGTGGGCTTTTTTTTTTTTTCCTGTAGTTGGCCCATTAAGATATTCATTGATTGATTACATTGGCTATGTCACTCAACGTTTATTGCTATATTTAAATTTTGTATAGTTTAATATTTTTACAACTATAGATTTATAGCTTATGATAAACTGTAAAGTGTTATTACAATAGTATCATAGTAGGAAGTGCTCCAATTTTATTCTCGTATGGAGGATTATTAGAAGGGAGAAGAGACAGATCAGCAGAGGAAGGTAGGACATCAGAAAGAAGGCTATTGCTGTAGTCCAAGTTAGAGCTGATGATGGTTTGAAGTAGGGTGGTATTCTAGTTATTTTTTACTGCCTAACAAACTTCCCCAAACTTAGTGACAAAAGACAACCATTTTATTTTGTTCACAGATTCAAGTCAGGAGTTTGAACAGGGGCACAATGAAGAATGTCTTGTTTCTGCTCCACAGTGTCTAGGGCCTCATTTGGAAAGACTCAGATGGCTGTAGTGAGTGCAGTGGCTGAGGGCTGAAGTTATCTGGAACTTTCTTTATTCACATGTCTGGTGCCTGATTTCAGCTGACTCAATGGCTGACTTGGCTGGGGCTGTTTACTAGATCACCTACATATCACCTCTCCATGTGGTTTGGGTATCCTCACAGCATGACAGCCTCATTAGTGTTGGATTATTTAAATGGCGACTCAGGGCTCCAAGTGCACGCTTTCCAGAGACCAAGAAAGAAACTGTATGCCCTTTGATGACCTAGCCTCCGAAGTCACATAGCCTCACTTCTGACCTTTTCACTTTTTTATAAGCCCACTCAGATTTGAGGGAAGGGGATAGATCACACCTGCCAATGGGATAACACTATTTACAGTTGTGTTTATATGTAAATAGAATAAAAGTAAATGCTCTCTTTTATCTGTTTCTTTTTTTCTGCTCAGTATAATGATTTCGAGCGTCATCTGTGTTGTTGCAGGCATCAATCAACCTGCTGGACACACACTAAGGTGACTCTCATGAGCCACATCCTCTTACAAACCCATTACCTTAAGCATGGGTGGGACCCATGACTTGCTTTTAACCAATAGAATGTGGCAAATAAGGGACACCATGCTCCTATTTATTTTATTTTTCCTCACTGTTAGATTTGGATTTTCAATTCACCTAAAATTTATTTTGAATTGGGATGTGAAATGAGGTTCTAAATTTTAAAAATAGCTAATAAGTGGTCCCAAAATAATTTATTGATTTCATTTCCTCATGATTCTGTGGTATCTGTCTTATTGTATATTAAATGCTTATATTTAGAACAGATTCTGGATGAGGCAGGACTTTTAAACATGAAAACCAGTTCCTAGAGTCGGGGCTGGAATCACGAGAAAATATAATGAAAAAATGAAGAGATAAAAAGCAATTACTTGAGCCCAGGAGGCAGAGGTTGCAGTGAGCCAAGATTGTGTCATTCCACTTCAGTCTAGGTGACAGGGGTGAAAAAAAAAACAAAGCAATTAGTGGGACAACAATTTGGCAATAAAAATGGGAAAATAAAGGTTTGTTTTCTGATTATAAAGTTCTTAAAATATTCTGTATAAAGAAATTTACAAAAAAGAAATTGAAAAAGACACAAATAAATGGAAAGACATTCTGTGTTCGTGAGTTGGAAGAATTAAATTGTTAAATGTTAATGTTAACTTGGGGAGTAGTATTGCCCATACTACCCAAATTAATCTACAGATTCAATGCAATCCCTACCAAAATTCCAATGGCATTTTTTATGGTAATAGGAAAAACAATACTATAATAACATTCATACGAAATCACAAAAGACCCGAATAGCCAAAGCAATCTTGAGCAACAAAAGAACAAAGCTGAAAGCATCACACTACCATATTTCAAAATATACTGCAAAGCTCTAGTAATCAAAACAGCATGGTGCTGGCATGAAAACACACATATAGACCAGTGGAACAGAACTGAGAGCTCACAAATAAATCTCTACACATTTAGTGTAATTGATCTCCAATAAGGGTGCCAAGAACACACAATAGGGAAAGGACAGTCTCTTCAATAAATGTCGCTGGGAAATCTGGATATCCACATACAGAAGAATAAAACTAGACTCTTATCTTAAACTATGTACAAAAATCAAGGCAAAATATATTAAAGATGTAAACATAAGATCTGAAACTGTAAAACTACAAGAAGAAAACCTAGGGAAAAAGCTACTTGACATTGGTCTGGTTAATGATTTTTTGGATGTCCCAAAAAGCACAGACAACAAAAGCAGTAACAGGCAAATGGGATTACATCAAACTAAAAAGCTCTTGCACAGCAAAGGAAACAACAGAATGAAGAGGCAACCTATGGAATGAGAGAAAATATTTGCAAACAATACATGTGGTAAGGGCACAGAAAGATATAACCTCATACCTATTAGAATAGATACTATAAAAAAGACAGAAGCTAACAAGTGTCAAAGACGTGGAGAAAAGGGAACCCTTGCACACTGTTAATGTGACTGTAAATCAGTACAGCCATTATGGAAAATAGTATGGAAATTCCTTGAAAAGTTAAAAATAAAACTACTATATGATCCAACAATTTCACTACTGAGTATATATCCAAAGGAAATAAAATCAGTACATCAAAGAGATATCTGCACACCAATGCTCAGTGCAGTTTTATTCATAATAGCCAAGATATAGATTAAGCCTAAGTGTGCACTGAGGGACGAATGAAGAAAGAATATGTGATATATATGCATACAGTGGAAAACTATTCAGCCTTTAAAAAGAAGGAAGTCCTGTCATGCGACAACATAGATGAACCTAGAGGACGTTATGCTAAGTGAAATAAGTCAGCCACAGAAAGACAACTACTGCATTATGTTGCTTATATATAGAAGCATTGAACCCATAGAAGCAGAGATTAGAATGGAAGTTGCAAGTGAGAAGAGTGAGGGAAAGGGGACTGAGGAAATGTTGATCAAAGGATACAAAATTTCAGTTAGACAGCTTGAAGAGTTTCTAGAGATCTGTTTTACAGTGTGTGATGGCTATAGTTAATAATAATAGATTGTATACTTGAAAATTGCTAAGAGAATAGATCTTACATGTTCTCAGCACAAAAAAATGATAAGTATGTGAGGTCATTGACATATGAATTAGCTTGATTTAATCATTTCACAGTGTACAGCAGTCTTCCCAAAGAACAATTTTTTTTTTTGAGACAGGGTCTTGCTGTGTGGCACAGGCAGAAGTACAGTGGTGTGATCACTGTAACCTTGAACCCCTGAGTTCAAGTGATTCGCCCACGTCAGCCTCCCAAGTAACTAAGACTATAGGCATGCACCACCAAGAACAATTTTTTAAATTGCAAAAATACTGTAAAGTTATATGAATGTGGTCTCTCTCAAAATATTTTATTGTACTGTACTCACCTTTCTTGTGATGACGTGAGATGATAAAATGCCTACGTGATGAGATGAAGTGAGGTGAATGGCATAGGCCTAGGATGTAGTGTTAGGGCTACTACAGACCTCTGACAATATGCCAGGATAGTCAGCTGCTTCAGGTGATCCTGGATCATCAAGCTATGATGATGCCGACGCTGTATGTCAGGAGCAGACGATGCAGTTGACTAATGGGTGTTGTGACCTAGGTATACAGTGTGGAGATACTTGACAAGAAAATGATTCATGTCCTGGACAGTATGGGTCAGGACAGCTTGAGATTCTTCACGCTCATCAGAACAATGCAATGTAAAAGTTATGAATTTCTGGAATTTTCTGCAAAATATTTTTTGACCCAGTTGACCACAGGTAACTGAAATCATGAAAGCAAAACTATGGATAAGAAGGCATTATTGCACACCTATGTCAAAACGTCATGCTGTACACTGTAAATATATTCGATTTGTATATTCGATTCAATTCTCACAACAGCTCCAGAAAGTAACAGAGGCTGAATATATTTTAATACTTGCAATATATATTATTCATTTTCACTTGGTAA
Organism: Homo sapiens; assembly: GCF_000001405.40. Lineage (NCBI taxonomy): Eukaryota > Metazoa > Chordata > Mammalia > Primates > Hominidae > Homo > Homo sapiens. The sequence goes on along the minus strand of NC_000014.9, from coordinate 32,883,686 downwards.
ATTAGCAAAGTTTATTGAAATTCTGGTGGTAAGACAATTTCTTGGGTAGAACACAAAAAGCACAGGACAAAAGGACAAGCCACAAAATGGGAAAAAATATTTGCATTACATATATCTAACAAAAGTACTTATATCCAGAATATATAAAAAAGTCCCAAAACTCAAGAGGACAAACAATCCATTTAAAAAATAGGCAAAAGATTGGAGGAGACACTTCCCCCAAAGATGTAGAAATGGCAAGAAAGCATCTGAGAGGGCTCTGCATCAGCTGCCATTCAGGAAATGCAAATTAAAACCACAGTGAGTCAGCACTGCAAACCCATTAATATGGCTAATATTCAAAAGATTGGCCATACCAGGCTGGGTGCAGTGGCTCATGCCTGTAAACCCAGCACTTTGGGAGGCTGAGGTGGGTGGATCATTTCAGGTCTGGAGTTTGAGACCAGCCTGACCAACATGGCGAAACCCCGCCTCTACTAAAAATGCAAAAATTAGCCGGGTGTGGTGGCACCTGCCTGTAATCCCAACTACTCAGGAGGCTGAGGCAGGAGGATTGCTTGAACCTGGTAGGTGGAGGTTGCAGTGAGATCATGCCACTGCACTTCAGCCTGGGCAACAGAACGAGACTCTGTCTTAAAAAAAAAAAAAAAAAAGATTGGCCGTACCAAGTGTTGTCAAGGATTTGAAGCAAGTGGAACTCTCATACACCGTTGGGCAGCACATTCAGTGGGTTACCACTTTGGAAAAACAGTGTGGCAGTTTCTGATAATATCAAGCATCCACTTACCATATCACTAGGAAATCCTACTCCTAGATGTTTGCCCTGGAGAAATGAAAGTCTCACATGAAAACCTGTAAGCGAATGTTCATAGTGGCTTTATTCAAAACAACCCAAACCTAAAGCAACACAAATATTCCAAAGGGAGAAAGAATAAACAAATTGTGAATCTGCCACTCAGCAACAATGAACTTGTTACAATAACAACATGGATGGATAGCAAAGTCATTATTCTGAATGAGAAAAGCCAAACCCAAAAGCATATACACTGTGTGATTTCACTGACAGGAAATTCTAGAATAGGCATAGGTCATTTAGTGACAGATCAATGGTTCCCTAGGCCAGGGAAGTGGGGGACACTAAGGGACACTTGTCTGATTGGAGTACTCTGAGTTCTAACTATAATCATGGTTGCATGGGTATATATATAATTCAAACTCCTTGAAATAAAACTTAAAAAGTGTGTATTATATCATAAGCAAGTTATAGCTAAATAAAGCTGATTAATAAAAAATATTTTTTCATCCCAGTGGAATTTTTTTTACATTATTGAAACTGAAAAAGCAAAAAATAAAAGTTGAAAAGGAGTTTTGCTATATAAAAGAAAGCTTTGTTAAAGCAATAATGGCATAGCCCCATGTTGAAGTATTATATATTTATTGTACAGCATGAATAATATTTAATGACATAAGAAAATGATCAAAATGGATTTTTAAGGAAAAAGAGTCACACAACTATATGTGAATTATACCTCTCTTTAATATTTTCAAGTCAGTCCTTACAGCTTACAATTTAATTTCTTTGTGCTTTCACACTCCCTCATTAGTTTTTCAAATCTTGGAAAATGCTTGTTTAACTGTGTAGCCTTTTCACAAATTATCGTGTTGCCCAAAGATACATCTCTTTGTGCCTGGATTTCTATCTATAATTGAGAATATAGAAAAACATATATACATAATGTGTTTCTTCACGACGTTAGAATGTATCTAGCCACATGGGGAAATACATTTTGCAGTCTTTTTTGTTGTTTAACAGGACTGAACCAGGCCAGACACATTAAAATTATTTCATATTAAAAATGTGGCATAAATTATAATGTGTTATGTTAAAAACACATTTAGGAAGGGAGTATAGTGATTATGCTATTTTTCTCTCTTAAAAATTAAAGTTTCTGAATTTTTGCACAGAACACAATTTTATGCCACAAAATAATTATAAACACTCAGAAGAAATTATGTTTGACTTTCTTTCCCATTTAACCTGACATTTTATCACTTTAATTGTCCTTGTGATTATTTGTGTGTCAGAGGAGAATTTTACATTCAAAAAGTTAACCCAATTCTCTTTAATTGAGGGAGTAGAATCAGAAATTGAGTCCTTGGGCAAAGCCTGAGAGAGAAATTGAATATCAGCTCCATTTAGGTTTCAAAGGTGAAACTACCAATTGGCTATTATAATTCAGGGCATGAATACTCCTACTAATCAGATATTTTAAGAATTATTTTACCTTGCTCAAAACACCCTCAGTGCTTCCTAGATGTCAATTAAATAAAGTCTTCATTCTCAGTATGGTATTCAAACCCTTCTACAACCAACACCTGGTTCTACCACTTACCGACTATGACTTTGGCCAAGGTACTTTTTTTTGTCTGAGCTTCTGGTTTCTTAGTTGTTTGTTTTTTAAGGTTTTGTGGGTACATAGTAGGTATATATATTTATGGGGTACCTGAGACATTTGGATACAGTCATGCAATATATAATAATCAGCATGGAAAATTGTGTATCTATCCCCTCAATCATTTATCATTTATCATTTCATAGTTGTTTTTTTAAGTTTTTGTGGGTACCTAGTAGATATATATATTTATGGGGTACCTGAGATATTTGGATACAGGCATGCAATATGTAATAATCAGCATGGAAAATTGTGTATCTATCCCCTCAATCATTTATCCTTTGTGTTTCAAACAATTATATTAATTATACTCTTTCAGTTATTGTAAATGTACAATTAAATTATTATTGCCTATAGTCCCTCTGTTGTGCTAGCAAATACTAGCTGTTATTCATTCTTCTAACTATGTATGTTTTGTATGCATTAATCATTCCTACCTTCCCTCCACTCCCCCACTATTTTTCACAGCCTCTGGTAACCATTGTTCTATTTTCTATCTCCATGAGTTCAATTGTTTTTGATTTTTAGAACCCACAAATAAGTGAGAAAATGTGATGTTTTTCCTTCTGTGCCTGGCATATTTCACTTAACATAATGATGACCAGTTCCATCCATGTTGCAAAGGACAGAATCTCATTCTTTTTTATGGCTGAATAGTACTCCATTGTATATAAGTACCATGTTTTCTTTATCTTAGTTAGTTTGAAAAATATTGGCCAGACACTGTGGCTCATGCCTGTAATCCTAGCACTTTGGGAAACTTTTTTTTTTTTTAAATTAGCTGGGCATGGTGGTGTATGCCTATAGTCCTAGCTACTCTGGAGGCTGAAGTCGGGGGATTGCTTGAGCTTGGGAAGTCATGGCTACAGTGAGCCATGATCATAATTGTGCCACTGTACTCCAGCCTGGGTGACAGAGTGAAATCTTGTGAAAAGAAGAGAGAGAGAGAGAGAGAGAGAAGAAAGAAAGAAAGAAAGAAAGAAAGAAAGAAAGAAAGAAAGAAAGAAAGAAAGAAGGCAAGCAGTAAAGAAAGGGAGGAAGGAAGAAAGAAAGAAAGGAGAAAGAAATTAAGAAAGAAAGAAGAAAAGGAAAGAAAGAAAAGAAAGAAGAAGAGAAGAGAAGGAAGGAAAGAAAGAAAGAAAGAGAAAGAAAGAAAAGAAGGAAAGAAGGAAGAAAGAAAGTAAAGGGAGGGAGAAAGGGAAAGAAAAATATACAGGGAGAGTAATATCTTGCTTATAGAATTGTGGGCAATAAAATAAAATGTTGGGCACACTATGTGTGTGGTATATACTAACTAGTCAGTACATGGAAACTATTCATTTAATGTGTTACTAGGTTTATTTATTTATTTATTTATTTATTTATTTATTATTTTCCCTACTGAGTTGTAGCTTGAAGGACTGCTGTTGTTTTTCTTTTTCTTTTTCTTTTTCTCTTGTCTATTCAATGGATATTTATTGAATGCCTTCCATTGCCAGGCATCATTCCAGGTGCTGAAGTGACAACAGTAAAGAAAACCAACATGGCTCCAGGCTTTAAGTAGCTTTCAGTCCAGTGGGGAAGACAGTCAACAAACAAGAAAAGAAATTCAAAGGGCAAAATAGCTGAAGGGGATATTAGCATAAGGTTAAGGGATAGAAACACCATTTTGTAGTTGTTGTTAGAGAAGGGCTTTAAAAGGTAAGGCTGAGGCCTGAGAAATGAGGATTTGGACAACATGCAAAGAGCAGAAGGGAAGTGCAGCCCAGTAAAAGGAATGCTATGGGCCATAAGGCAGATTGAACTAAGAGCATGGCATGTGAATGTGCAGAGAGGAGGGGCTGGAAATTAATAAGTGAAGGGGATACAGTCCTGAGATTTGCCTAGAGAAATCTGCAGGGACCAGGTCTTCATTGTCTTGGAAGCTTGGCTACGAGTTTGGGCACTACTCTGAATGCTGTGGGAAACCCTGGAAGGATGCTAAGCAGAGGAGTGGCAGCATGCAATTGACAAAGGAAAAAGAACATTCTGTGGAACTCTGAACACCAAATGAATGGGGCCTGGGAGTCAGGAAGGTGGTGCAGGAGGGCAAGAGGGGAAGAGGAGTCTTTTCACCTGCCTCTCTGGGAGGTGTGACTATAGAGTATGTTGGGTAGGGCCAACTCTGGAGCACTCAGATTCATAAAGCAAATATTACTAGATCAAAAGAGAGAGCTAGATTGCAATACAATAATAGTGAGGAAGCACATATTCAACAATCTACTTTCAACATTAGACAGATTATCTAGGCAGAAAATCAACAAAGAAACATTAGATTTAAATTGGACTTTAGACCAAATGAACCCAAGAAACATTTACAGAACATTCTATCCAATAACTGCAGAATATACATTCTTTCCATTAGCACATAGAACATTCTTCAGGATAGACCATATGTTAGGCCACAAAACAATTCTCAACAAATTTTTAAAAATTGAAATTATATCAAGTACCATCTCAGACCACAATGGAATAAAACTAGAAATCAATATAAAGAAAAACTCTGAAAACTATATAAATACATGGAAATTGAACAACATACACCCAATTGACCATTGGGTCAACAAAAAAATTAAGAAAGAAATTTAAAAATTCCTTGAAAAACAAATAAAAATGGAAACAAAATACCAAAACCTGTGGGATACAGCAAAAGCCATGCTAAGAGGAAAGTTTACAGCAATAAATGCCTACATCAAAAAGAAAGATTACACGGCCGGGCATGATGGGTCATGCCTGTAATCCCAGCAATTTGGGAGGCTGAGGCTGGGTGGGTCACCTGAAGTCAGGAATTCAAGACCAGACTGGCCAACATGGTGAAGCCCTGTCTCTACTAAAAATACAAAAATTAGCCATGTGTGGTGGCGGGCACCTGTAATCCCAGCTACTTGGGAATCTGAGGCAGGAGAATCGCTTGAACCCAGGAGGCAGAGGTTGCAGTGAGCCAAGATAGCGCCACTGTACTCCAGCCTGGGCAGCAGAGTGAGACTCCATCTCAGAAAAAAAAAAAAAGAATTACAAATTAATAAAAGAATTACAAATTAATGATCTACAATGCACCTTAAGGAACTAGAAAACCAAGAACAAACCAAACTCCAAATTAGCAGATGAAAAGAAATAATAAAGATCAGAGTAGAACTGAATGAAATAGAGACTAAATAAATAATAAATAATACAAAAGATCAACTAAATGAAAAGTTGTTTTTTTGAAAAGATAAACAAAATTGATAATCTGCTAGCTAGACTAACCAAGAAGAGAGAAGACCCAAATAAGCAAAATCAGAAATGAAAAAGGAGACTTACAACTGATACCACAGAAATACAAAAGATCAGGTGACTGAGGAAGATGGTGGATAGGAGGCAGGATTAGCTTGCAGCTCCTGCTTGGACGGACAGAGCACCAGGTGGAGAATCACATGGTAAACTTTTGTTCCCACAACTACTGCAGGAATATACCAGGAAAGCGAAGAGAATCCACAGACCCTTTGAAGGAAATGGATCACCGCTGCCTGCTCCCTGAGATGCTGAAAGTGAGTCTGCTTGTTTTCTCAATGGGGAGGCTTGTGATCTGGGCCAAGTTCTCAGTCCTGGTCACCAGCTTCCTGGAAATAGACTCTGTGCTGTTGGAGGGGGCACGATGGGACTGAGACCAGTCTTTAGGACTGTGGGCTGTGTGGGAGCAGAGTGAGGCCTGTGACTGCCAGCTTTCCCCCACTTCCCTGGTGACCTGTATGACTCAGCAAAGGTAGCCATGATCCCCCTGGGAATATAACTCCACTGGACTGGGAACCACACCCCCATCCCCCACAGCAGCCACAGCAAGCCCTGCCCAAGGAGAGGCTGAGCTCAGACATCCATATCCCTGCCCCATCCTGGTGGTCTTTCTCTATCTGCCCTGGTAGTGGAGGACAAAGGTCATAATCTCTTAGGAGCTCTATGGGAGCTCTATGGCCTGGCCCACTGCCTGAGAAACCTGAATACTTAACCAGGTGTCCCAAGGGCAAGTTTGCATCTTCCCTATAGGACTACAGCTGATGCACTCTTGAAAGCACCACCTCCTGGCTGGAGGCCAACCAACACAAAACCAGTGCACTAAACGAAAACACAACCAAGGACCCTCACAGAGTCCACTTCACTCCCCTGCTACCTCCACTGGAGCAGGTGCTGGTATCCACAGCTTCAAGACCTGAAGATGGATCACATCACAAGACTCTTTGTAGACACTCCCCAGTACCAGCCTGGAACTGGTAGCTCCACTGGGTGGCTAGACCCAGAAAAGCAAAAATAATCACTACAGTTCAGCTCTCAGGAAGCCCATTCCTAGGGGAAATGGGAGAATACCACACCAAGGGAGCACCCTTTGGGACAAAAACCTCTGAACAGCAGTTCTTGAGTCCCAGATCTTCCCTCTGACATAGTCTACCAACATGAGAAGGAACCAGAAAAACAATGCTGGTAATATGACAAAACAAGATTCTTTAACACCCCTGAAAGATCATAACAGCTCATCAGCAATGGATCCAAACCAAGACAAAATCTCTGAATTGCCAGAAAAATAATTTAGAAGATTGATTATTAAGCTACTCAAGGAGGCACCAGAGAAAGGTGAAGCCCAAGTTAGATAAATCAAAAACATGATAGACGATATGAAAGGAAAATTCTTCAGTGAAATAGATAGCATAAATAAAAAACAATCACAACTTCTGGAAATCAGGGACACACTTAGAGAAACGCAAAATGCACTGGAAATTCTCAGCAATAGAATTTAACAGCAGACGAAAGAACCTCAGAGCTTGAAGACAGGCTTTTGAATTAACCCAATCCACCAAAGACAAAGAAACAAGAATTTAAAAAAATGAACAAATGAACAAAGCCTCCAAGAAGTTTGGGATGATGTTAAACATCCAAACGTAAGAATAATTGGTGTCCCTGAGGAAGACTCTTCTTCCTCATCTAAAGTTTAGACATCTAAAAGTTTAGAAAACATATTTGAGGGAATAATCAAGGAAAACTTCCCCAGCCTTGCTAGAGATCTAGACATCCACATACAACAAGCTCATAGAACATCTGGGAAATTCATTGCAAAATGATCATCACCTAAGCACGTAGTCATCAGGTTATCTAAAGTCAAGACAAAGGAAAGAATCTTGAGAGCTGTGAGGCAAAAGCATCAGGTAACTTTTAAAGGAGAGCCTATCAGATTAACAGCAGATTACTTGGCAGAAACTCTACAAGCTAGAATGGATTGGGGTTCTATTTTTAGCCTCCTTAAACACAACAATTATCAGCCAAGAATTTTGTATCCAGTGAAACTAAGCTTTATAAATGAAGGAAAGATATGATTATTTCCAAACAAACAAATGCTGAGAGAATTCACCACTACCAAGCCAGCACTACAAGAACTGCTAAAAGGAGCTCTAAATCTTGAAACACATCCACAAAATACACCCAAATAGGACCTCCTTAAAGCATAAATCTTACAGGACCTATATAAAATAACACAAAGAAAAAAAAACATATTCGGGCAACAAATAGCACAATCAGTAGAATAGTACCTCACATCTCAATACTAACATTGAATGTAAATGGCCTAAATGCTCTACTTAAAAGATACAGAATGGCCAAATGTATAAGAATTCACCAACCAAGTTTCTGCTGTCTTCAGGAGACTTACTTAACACAAAAGGACTCACATAAACTTAAGGTAAAAAGGGGTAGGAAAAGATATTGCATGCAAATGGACACCAAAAGTGAGCAGGAGTAGCTATTCTTATATAAGACAAAACAAACTTTGGAGCAACAGAAGTTAAAAAAGACAAAGAAGGACATTATGTAATGATAAAAGGACTAGTCAACTAGGAAAATATCACAATTCTAAATATATACGCACCTAACACTGGTGCTCCCAAATTTATAAAACAATTACTAGTAGACCTAAGAAATGAGATAGATGGCAACACAATAATAGTGGGGGACTTTAATACTACACTGACAGTACTAGATACATCATCAAGACAGAAAGTCAACAAAGAAACACTGGACTGAAACTATACCCTAGAACAAATGGACTTAATAGATATTTACAGAACATTCTACCCAACAACTGCAGAATATACATTCTATTCATCAGCACATGGAATATTCTCCAATATAGACCATATGATCAGCCACAAAACAAGCCTCAGTAAATTTAGGAAAATTGAAATTATATCAAGTATATCAAATACTCTTTCAGACCACAGTGGAACAAAATTGGAAATCAACTCCAAAAGGAACACTCAAAACCATGCAAATGCATGGAAGTTAAGTAACTTGCTCCTGAATGATTGTTGGGTCAACAAAGAAATCAAGATGGAAATTTAAAAATTCTTTGAACTGAACTATAATGGTGGCCCAATGTATCAAAACCTCTGAAATACAGCAAAAGTGGTGTTAAGAGGAAATTTCATAGCATTAAATGCCTACATCAAAAAGTGTGAAAGAGCACAAATAGACAATCTAAGGTCACACCTCATGAAATGGGAAAAACAAGAACAATCCAAACCCAAACCCAGCAGAAGAAAAGAAATAATGAAGATCAGTGCAGAACTAAATGAAATTTTAAAAAACCAAAAAATACAAAATGTAAATGAAACAAAAAGCTGGTTCTTTGAAAAGATAAATGAAATTGATAGGCTATTAGTGCAATTAACTAAGAAAAGCACACAGAAGGTCCAAATAAGCTCAATTAGAAACAAAATGTGTGATATGAGAACTGATACCACAGAAATACAAAAGATCATTCAAGGCTACTATGAACACCTTTATGCACATAAACTAGAAAACATGAAGATGATGGATAAATACCTGGAAATATACAACCCTCCCAGATTAAACCAGGAAGATATAGAATCTCTGAACAGACTAATAACAAGCAACGAGATTGAAATGGTAATAAAAAAAAATTGCCAACAAAAAAAAGTCCAGGACCAGATGGATTCACAGCTGAATTCTATGAGACATTCAAAGAAGAATTGGTACCAATCCTATTGACACTATTCCAAACTATACAGAAAGAAAGAATCCTCCCTAAATCATTCTATGAAGCCAGTATCACCCTAATACCAAAATCAGGGAAAGACATAACAAAAAAAGAAAACTTGGGACCAATATCCCTGATGAACATAGATGCAAAAATCCTCAACAAAATACTAGCTAACCGAATCCAACAACATATCAAACAGATAATCCACCATGATCAAGTAGGTTTCATACCAGTGATGCAGGGATGGTTTAATATATGTAAGTCAATAAATGTGATACACCACCTAAACAGAATTAAAAACAAAAATCACATGATCATCTCAATATATGCAGAAAAGCATTTGACAAAATCCAGCATCCCTTTATGATTAAAACCCTCAGCAAAATCAGCATAGAAGCGATATACCTTAAGGTAATAAAAGCCATCTATGAAAAACCCACAGCCAATACTATACTGAATGAGTAAAAGTTGAAATCATTCCCCCTGAGAACTGGAACAAGACAAGAATGCCCACTTTCACCACTTCTATTCAACATAGTACTGAAAGTCCTGACCAGAGCAATCAGACAAGAGAAAGAAATAAAGGGCATCCCAATCAGTAAAGAGGAAGTCAAACTGTCACTGTGCTGATGATATGATTGTATACCTAGAAAATCCTAAAGACTCATCTAAAAAGCTCCTAGAACTGGTAAATGAATTTAGCAAAGTTTCAGGATACAAAATTCATGTACACAAATCCGTAGCTCTGCTACACACCAAGCTGAGAGTCATCTTGCTAGCAACCATGCTGAGAATCAAATCAAGAATTCAACCCCTTTCAAAATAGTTGCAAAAAATAAAATAAAAGACTTAGGAATATACCTAACCAAGGATGTGAAAGACCTGTACAAGGAAAGCTACAAAACACTGCTGAAAGAAATCATAGACAACACAGACAAATGGAAACACATCCCATGTTCATGGATGGGTAGAATCAATATTGTAAAAATGACCATGCTGCCAAAAGCAGTCTACAAATTCAATGCAATTCCCATCAAAATACTACCATCATTCATCACAGAACTAAAAAAAAAAAAATCAATGCTTTTATGAAAAAAATCATATGGAACCAAAAAAGAGCCCAAATAGCCAACTAAGACTAAGCAAAAAGAACAAATCTGGAGGGATCACATTACCCGACTTCAAACTATACTATAAGGCCATAGTCATCAAAACAGCATGGTACTGATAGAAAAATAGGCACACAGACCAACGAAACAGAATAGAGAACCCAGAAATAAAGCTGAATACTTACAGCCAACTGGTCTTCAACAAAGTAAACAAAAACATAAAGTGGGGAAAGGATACCTTATTCAACAAATGGTGCTGGGATAATTGGCAACCCACATGTAGAAGAATGAAACTGGATCCTTATCTCTCACCAAATACAAAAATCAATTCAAGATGGATTAATGACTTAAATCTAAGACCTGAAACCATAAAGATTCTAGAAGATAACATCAGAAAAAACCTTCTAGACATTGGCTTAGGCAAAGACTTCATGACCAAGAACCGAAAAGCAAATGCAACAAAAACAAAGAAAATAGATGGGACTTGATTAAACTGAAAAGCTTCTGCACAGCAAAATAAATAATCAGCAGAGTTAACAGACAACCCACAGAGTGGGAGAAAATCTTCACATCTATACACCGGACAAAGGACTAACATCCAGAATCTACAAAGAACTAAAAAAATCAGCAAGAAAAAAAACAAACAATCTCATCAAAAAGTGGGCTAAAAACATGAATAGGCAATTCTCAAAAGAAGATACACAAATAGCCAACAAGCATATGGAAAAATGCTCAACATCATTAATTATCAGGGAAATGCAAATCAAGGCCACAATGCAATACCACTTCACTCCGCAAGAATGGTCATAATCAAAAAAATCATAGATGTTGGCATGGAAGTGGTAAAAAGGGAACACTTTTACACTGTTAGTGGGAACGTGAACTAGTACAACCACTATGGAAAACAGTGTGGAGATTCCTTAAAGAACTAAAAGTAGATCTACCATTTGATCCAGCAATCTCACTACTAGGTATCTATGCTGAGGCAGATAAGTCATTATACAAAAAAGATACTTACACACACATGTTTATAGCAGCACAATTTTCAATTGCAAAAATATGGAACCAGCCCAAATGCCCATCAATCAATGAGTGGATAACCAAAATGTGGTATATATATATATATATATATAATGGAATACTATTCAGCCATAAAAAGGAACAAAATAATGGCATTCACAGCAACCTGGATGGAATTGGAGATGATTATTCTAAGTGAAGTAACTCAGGAATGGAAAACCAAGCATCATATGTTCTCACTCATATGTAGGAGCTAAGCTATGAGGACACTAAGGCAGAAGAACGAAACATTGGACTTTGGGCACTCGGGAAAGGGTGACGGGTGGTGAGGGATTAAAAAACCACACATTGGGTACAGTGTATACCGCTTGGGTGCACCAAAGTCTCAGAAATCACCACTAAAGAACTTATTCATGTAACCAAACACCACCTGTTCCCCAAAAACCTATTGAAATAAAAAAATAAAAAATAAATTTTAAATACAAAAGATCATCACAGACGTTATGAACAACTATATGCTGAGAAACTGGAAAAACCTAGAGGAAATGGATAAATTCCTGGAAACATACAAACTACTACGTTTGTACAGCCTACTAAGGTTGAATCAGGAAGAAATAGAAAACCTTAACAGACCTATAACAAGTAGCAAGATTGAACCAGTAATACAAAGTTTTCCGACAAAGGAAAGCCCAGGACCAGATGGATTCGCAGCTAAATTCTACCAAAGGTATAAAGAATAACTAATAACAAATGAAGCCAGCATTACCCTAATACCAAAGTCATACAAGGACACAACAACAACAACAAAAAGAAAACTACAGGCCAGTATACTTGATGAACATAGACACAAAAATCTTTAACAAAATACTAGCAAATCAAATCCAACAGCACATCCGAAACATAACACAACACAATCAAGTGAGTTTTATTCCAGAGATGCAAGGATGGTTCAACATACACAAGTCAATAAACAGGACACACCACATCAACAGAATGAAGGACAAAAACCGTATATAGAATAGTCTCAATGGATGCAGAAAAAGCATTTGACAAAATTCAACATTCCTTCAACATAAAAACTCTCAAAAAAGTAGGCATAGAAGGAACATATCTCAGAATAATAAAGGCCATATATGACAAACCCACAGCTAATATAACACTGAATGTGGAATAGTTAAAAGCCTTTCCTCTAAGAACTGAAACAAAACAAAGATGACTACTTTCACCACTCCTATTCAACATAGTACCAGGAGTCCTAGCCAGAGCAATTGGGCAAAAGAAAAAAGGCATCCAAATTGGAAGAGAGAAAGTCAAATTGTCCCTCTCTGCTGAGGCTATGATCTTATATCTATAAAAACTGCAAAAGATTCAACCACAAAACTAAAAATAGGCCAGGTGCAGTGGCTCACACCTGTAATCCCAGTGCTTTGGGAAGCCAAGGCAGGAGGATCACATGAGGCCAGGAACTGAAGACCAGCCTGGGCAACATGGCAATACTCCATCTCTATAAAAAATTAGCCAAGGATGGTGGCTCATGCCTGTAGTCCTAACTACCTGGGAGGCAGGAGGATAGCTTGAGTCCAGGAGGTTGAGGTTACAGTGAGTTATGATTACACCATCGTATTCTAGCCTGGTGACAGAGCAAGATCCTGTCTCTAAAAAAGATAAAAAGTAAAAATAGAATTACTATTCAGTCCAGGAGTCCCACTCCTGGGTATTTATGCACAGGAAAGTAAATTTATCAAAGGGACACCTGAACTTGCATATTTACTGCAGCTCTATCCACAACAGCAAAGATATGGAATCAACCTAAGTATTCACTAACAGATGAATAGAGAAAGAAAATGTAGTATACATGCCAGGCACAAAAAGACAAATATCTCATGTTCTCACTTACATGTGGGAGCTATAAAATTTGATCACATGGAGATAGAGAGTGGAAAGATAGATAACAGAAACTGGGAAGAGTGAGTGGGGGTCAGAGAGGAGGATGAAAATAAGTGGGTTAAAGGGTACAAACATACAGTATGATAGGAAGAATAAATGCAATATTTGTTAGCAGAGTAAGGCGACTATACTTAACAAAAATGTATTGCAGTTGGGTGTTGGACTCCCAAAATACCCTGACTTGACCACTGCCCATTGTAGACATGTAACAACATTTCCCATGTACCCATACATTTGTACAAATAAAAATAAAAAAAAATAAAATGAATATTCAAATACTAACAACGTTCTAATGATAGACCTTATTCTCTCACTGATGTTGTTACTGAGGTTAGCAATGCTGAAAATCTGCATGATCACCCAATCAGCAACTACTGACAAGTTTGGGGATGCCAAAAATGACCTCGAAGTAGGTCTTCAGCTATTTGGCCTTTCCAAAGGCTGAGGTCAAAGACAACACAATGTGAAGACCCAGACAAAAATGTGATGCCTCTCTACCTACTGCCGCTTTATTATCATTACTGTACTCATCACTAACTGGGTTTTCCATGTTTTTAAAATGTTCTGTATTCTTTGTTTAGAATGTTGTTCCATGGGAATAAGGACTCCGTCTGTCTTGTTCAATAGCATGACTCTCAAGCCCAGAAAAGTATCTGGCACACTGTGGCTGTCCTATCGATGTTTGCTGAGTAGATGGGCAGATGGATCAACAGATAAATACAACTGTAGTACAGGCAAGAAATGATGGTGACTTGGACTTTTGCAAAAGAAATGGGGAAAATAACAGATTTGGTTTGCCTATAGAATCAACAGGACTAGCTAAAGGAAGTCCTGTTGGAAGATGAGGGAATATTATTAATCAGGGTGACTTCCAGGGTTCTGGCTTGAGAAACTTGTGTATCTTCAGTAAGATACAATAGTATTAAATAGCATCCAGCCTTACACATAGGTGCCCCCCAAATTCTTGTCAAATTAGTGAATTGAGCTGAGCTTCAACTTTGATAGATTAAATTAGTAGCTGTGTAATTGAGAGGTACCTGTGAGAATTCTGGATATAATTTTCCCAAATCTGCCCACACTACTGACGTTTGAGGCTCACATTCTCTTCTCAGTGACAGAACTATGAAGGCAGAGGCTGCTGAGTGACAGCTTGTTGAGCCTCACTAGCCTAGAGAGAGAGCAGAAGTAGTACATTGCCATTGCTATCCTAACTTGTGGTTTTCACCAGGTTGCTATAAAGGTAAGTGGTTTGCAGTTCCTCACCTTGTTCCCTGGAGAAAAATGAAGAACACCAATTCAGAAAAATATGGCAGATTTTCAAATTAATTATTGGAACAGTATCTGAACCATGAAAAATTCCGTTTCCAGAGAAGGATTAAAAAAGGGCATACGGCACTAATTGTCATAGAGTCCTTGTTACATTTTATGGATTTTCCATTTTGTAAAGCAGTGACTCATTTAAAGGAAAAAAATTAAACAGCAATTCCAGCAAAACGTTAAATTAATACAGACATTAGCCCAGACTGCGTGTGTGTGATGTTGGCAGGCTCCACACAGCTCTTGTTCCTGTGGACACCACACATAGGGAGACAACATCATGGGCTCCCTGCTACTCAAGCCATTTACTAGAATGTGAAACCTGATGTGTCCTTGTCCCTGAAATTCATTATGCGGGCTTCATGGGCCTGCTGGCCCTCCAATTAGCCATGTTTTCTTGCCTGATTTCTGGAGAAAGGGACAAAGCTATCTGAATGCAGCACTATCTTACACAATATGGAGTCTTTATCATTTTTCCCCTTTCAATGATTTTACAAATAATGATGTGTAGTGCAGAAGGAAGATAACCATTCCAGCATGTAGCCACCAATCATCTCTTATTGTTTACAAAGAATGGGCAAGTGTTATTCTACACTTTGGGTCAAAAGAAATTTTAAAAAATTTGCTAGAGTCATATGCACACATAAGTAGAGAAGTTTCATTCTTCGAATCAACAAAATCACACTATCTTCTCCCAAATGGCGTCACTACATCAAATCTTCATTGCCTGCAATGATCCTGAAAAGCTGTAAACCTGATATCCTCTTCCCACTCCTCCATGCTCCCTACTCTCGTTGCTTCTACGCATGTCAGGTGGCAAGCAGGGCAGTGCAGGGTAGATGGAAAATAACAGGCTTTAGAAGAGATGGGCCTGACTTCAAATATTGGCTTATCCCCATCATTGCTGTTTGACCTCAGGAAAGTTGCTTGTCCTAATCTGTGGAGTGGGTTTAATAAACATCTTGAAAGGTGAGTGTTAGAAATTGTACATGTACTAAATAAACATCTTGTAAGGTAAGCATTAGAGATTGTACATGTATTAGAGATAGTACATATGAAGTACCTGCGATGTACTAAGTGATCATAGCTGTCATTGTGGCTGCCTGTACCATGGCCTAAATTCTCATTGCACTCTGATTTGCTCGTTTATCAATACCACCATCTTCCCTACAGTTCTGTATTGTGAAACTGTCTCTTCCCTTCCATATATTGAACATCTCCCTGTCTTTCCTCATTTATTCGTTTAACAAATATAAACTGTGGAATTATGATGTCTAAGTCTGACATCAGTCAAACTGCTCTGGAAATCTCCTTGCCTTTTGAAAAACTGTGTCAAAAGACGTTTTTATATTTTAAAAAACCACGGTATTTTTATTTAAATATTTACATGTATTTCAATTTTAGCACCAATTTATTTATTGGTTGCTGCTACTTTGGAAGGCATCAGAAGGCTGAGATACAGACCACTAGGAAGTTGTATTCTAACAGTTGATGCAGCTGTGGGCAAAGTATTTCAAACAAGTAACTTAGTAAACATGTTCATAATTTAGGTCTAGAATATTATAGTTTATTATCTCTATTGCAGGAGGCCATGTAAGATCTAAGGAATCAGAGAACAAAATGTGGAGGGGCAGAGCCAAGATGGCAGACTAGAAGCAACTCCTGTGTGCAGCTCTCAGGGAGAGGAAACACAGCACTAGTGAACACTGACCCTGCAGGCCGTTCATCTGAGAAACACCTGGGGATCCATCAAGGCAGCGAGGGGACACAGAGAGCAGAGAGAAACAAAGCTGGGCACCAGCTCATCTGGGCTCAGTGCAGAGCCAAGAAAACCTCTCCAATACAGGAGAGAGTCAGTGAGTGAGAGCCCTCAGGGGAATTCATGCTCCCCATGGGGACATGTGCAACACGGGGAATGGGAGAATCCCTCTGAACGCCCTCCACCACCCACTGCACTTCTAGACTGAAGCAGAGAGCCACCCAGCAGTTTTGCAGGGTCAACTAAGAGGAACTCTACTAGCCTTGGGCTCCAGAGTAGACCAGCGCCCATTCCATAGCACCAATAGAGGCCACAGTCCTGGTGCCTAGAAGCAGTAAGATTGTTCCATCCTGCCCCTTGCTGGATAGGGCTTGATGTGAGATTCTGGCCCAGCAGTCCCATGTCGCCTAAACATGGCCAGCTACTCCACCCACCCCTGCTACCGGTAGCCAGGCAGTCCATGCCTGCTAGAGCTTCTGGTCTAGTGGCCCCACTTCTGTGTGAACTCTGCTAGAGGGCACAGCCTCCTGTTGTCCCAGAAAACACCTGGATGGCAGGGTGCATGACCCTCCATCCAACCCTGCCACAGGGAACCTGGTGGACAACACCTGCTAGAGCTTCCGGCCCAGCAGTCCCACTTCTGTGTGAATTCAGGCAGTGGACAGTGGACACAACCTCTGTTGTCCCAGAAAGCACCCACATGCCAGGGCAGATGACCCCACCCATCCCTGCCCCTGATAGCCAGTGAGCAATGCCTGCTAGAGCTTCTGGCCCAGTGGCCCTGCTTCTGTGGGAACTCAGCTGGAGGGTACAGCCTTCTGTTGTCCTGGGAAACACCCAGACGGCAGGGCAGGTGTCCCCACCCACCCTCTCTGCTGGTAGCGAGGTGAGCCACGCCTGCTAGAGCTTTTGTCCCAGCAGTCCTACTTCTGCCTGAATTTGCTGAGGGGGACAGCCTCCTCTTGCCCTGGAAACACCCAGAGAGCAGGGCGGACAACTCCACCCACCCCTGCTTCTTGTAGCCAGACAAGCCACACCCACTAGAGCTTCCAACCCAGCAGTTCCACTGCTGCTCGAATTCTGGGGGCAGGCACAACCTTGTGTTTTTCCAGGAAGCACAGGGACAGCAGATTAGGGCCAACCTGGCAAGGATACAACTTCTCTGCCAATGGTGGCCCCTGCCTAAGGGAGCTCTGTGGACTGGAATACCCAACAAAAGAAACATGGGCACAGAGACAGTAATTTAAGGAGCCTCTTCCAAGATAGCAACCTAAAAGACTGAAGGAAGATCATACCCACAGCTGAAGAACTTTGAGGCCTAAAACAATTCTCAGCAAATTAAAAAACAAACAAAATCGTACGAACCATCCTCTCAAATCACATTGCAAAAAAAATAGTAATCAAGGCTAAGAAAATCACTCAAAACCATACAATTTAATGGAAATTAAACAACCTGTCCCTGAATAACTTCTGGGTAAATAATGATATGAAGTCAGAAATCAAGAAATTCTTTGATACTAATGAGAAAAAAGGTACAACATACAAGAATCTCTGGGACACAGCCAAAGCAGTGTTAATCAGGAAGTTTACAGCACTAAACGCCAACATCAAAAAATTAGAAAGATCTCAAGTTAACAGCCAAACATTACAATTAGAGGAACTAGAGAAACAAGAGCAAATCAACCCCAAGGCTAGCAGAAGGCAAGAAATGACCCAAATCAGAGCTGAACTGAAGGAAATTAAAATGTGAAAAACCATACGGAAGACCAATGAGTCCAGGAGCTGATTCTTTGAAAGAATTAATAAGATAGGTTGACCACTAGCTAGACTAATAAAGAAAAAAGAGAGTAAGATTCAAACAAACACAATCAGAAATGACAAAGGGGCCATTACCACCGACCCCACAGAAATACAAAAAACTCTAAGAGCCTATTATGAACACTTCTATGCATACAAGCTAGAAAACCTAGAAGAAATGGATTAAAAACATACAAGCTCCTATGATTGAACCAGGAAGAGACTGAATCCCTGAACAGACCATTAACAAGTTCCAAAACTGAATCAGTAATAAAAACCAGAAAAAGCCCAGGATTAGATGGATTCACAGCTGAATTCTACCAGATATTTAAAGAAGAAACGGTACCATTTCTACTGAAACTATACCAAAAAAAGAGGAGTGGGGGATTCTTCCCTAAGTCATTCTTTGAGGCCATCGTCATCCTAATACCAAAACCTCCCAGAGACACAACAAAAGAAAAAGAAAATGTCAGGCCAATATCCTTAATGAACACAGATGCAGAAATAGTTGACAAAACACTAGCAAACCAAATCCAGCAGCACATCAAAAACTTAATCCACCACAATCTAGTAGGCTTTATTCCTAGTATGCAAGTTTGGTTCAGCATTCACAAATCAATAAATGTAATTCACCACATAAACTGAACTAAAAACAAAAAACACATGATTGTCTCAATAGATGCAGAAAAGGATTATGATAAAATTAAACATCTATTCAATCCACTTGTTA
The DNA here is from genome assembly GCF_000001405.40 of Homo sapiens. Classification (NCBI taxonomy): domain Eukaryota; kingdom Metazoa; phylum Chordata; class Mammalia; order Primates; family Hominidae; genus Homo; species Homo sapiens. The sequence continues at coordinate 32,864,515 of NC_000014.9, read as the reverse complement.
AAAACCCTCAACAAACTAGGCACTGAAGGAACATATCTCAAAATAATAAAAGCTAACTATGAAAATCCCACAGCCAACATCATACTGAATAGGCAAACGCTGGAAGCATCCCCCTTGAAAACCAGAACAAGACAAGGATGCTCTCTCACCAGTCCTATTCAACATAGTACTGGAATTCCTAGCTGGAGAAATCAGGTAAGAAAAAGAAATAAAACACATCTAAATAGGAAGTGAGGAAGTGCAGCTATCCCTGTTTGCAGTTGATATGGTTCTATACCTAGAAAACCCAATAGTCTCTGGCCAAAATCTCCTTGATCTGGTAAGCAAATTCAGCAAGGTTTCAGAATACAAAATCCTAGGAACACAGCTAACAAAGGAGGTGAAAGAACTCTACAATGAGAATTACAAAACACTGCTCAAAGAAATCAGTGATGACAGAAATAGAAAAACATTCCATGCTCATGTATAGGAAGAATCAATATTGTTAAAATGGCCATCCTGCCCAAAGAAGTTTACAGATTCAATGCTATTCCTATCAAACTACAAATGACATTCTTCACAGAAGTAGAGAAAAACTATTTTAAAATTCATGTGGAATAAAAAAAGAGCCCGAATAGCCAAGGCTATCCTAAGAAAAAAGAACAATGCTGGAGACATCACATTACCTGACTTCAAACTATACTACAGGCAGTAACCAAAACAGTATGGTACTGGTACAAAAACAGACACATAGAACAAGGGAACATAATAGAGAGCCCAGAAACAATACCTCACACCTACAACCATCTGATCTTCAACAAAATTGACAAAAACAAGCAATGGAGAAAGGATTTCCTATTCAGTAAATGGTGTTGGGATAACTGGCTAGCCATATACAGAAGTTTGAAACTGGACCCCTTCCTTTCACCATATACAAAAATCAATTCAAGATGAACTGAAGATTTACATGTAAAACCTAAAACTAAAAACCCTGGAAGATGATCTAAGAAATGCCATTCTGGACATAGGACTTGGCAAAGATTTCATTATGAAAACACCAAAAACAATTGCAACAAAAATAAAAATTGGACAATGGGACCTAATTAAACTAAGAAGCTCCTGTACAGCAAAAGAAACTATCAACAAAGTAAACAGACAACCTAAAGTATGGGAGAAAATATTTGCAAACTATGCATTTGACAAAGGTCTAACATCCCAAATCTAGAGAGAACTTAAATTTACAAACAAATCCCAAACAACCCCATTAGAAAGTGGGCAAAGGACATGAACAGACACATTTCAGAAAAAAAAAAAATACACATTGCCAACAAGCATATCAATAAATGCTCAATAACACTAATCATTAGAAAAACACAACTCAAAACCACAAAGAGATGCCATCGCACACCAGTCAGAATGGCTATTATTAAAAAGTCAAGAAGCTGGGTGCGGTGGCTCACGCCTGTAATCCCAGCACTTTGGGAGGCTGAGGCAGGAGAATCACAAGGTCAGGAGTTTGAGAACAGCCTGGCCAACATGGTGAAACCCCGTCTCTACTAAAAATACAAAAAATTAGCCGGGCATAGTGGTGGGCACCTGTAATCTCAGCTACTCAGGAGGCTGAGGCAGAAGAATAGCTTGAACCTGGGACGCAGAGGTTGCAGTGAGCCAACATCACTCCACTGCACTCCAGCCTGGGCAACAGAGCAAGACTCTGTCTCAAAAATATATAAATAAATAAACAGTAAAAAAAATGACAGATGCTGGTGAGCTTGTAGAGAAAAGGGAATGCTAATACACTGCTGGTGAGAATGTAAATTAGTTCAGCCATTGTGGAAAGCAGTTTGGACATTTCTCAAAGAATTTAGAATTACCATTCAACCCAGCAATCCCATTATTGAATATATGCCCAGAGGAATATAAAGGGTTCTACCATAAAGACAATGCATGTTTATATTCATTGCAGCACTATTCACAATAGCAAAGACATGGAATCAACCTAAATGCCCTTCAACAGTAGACTGGATTTTAAAAATGTGGTACATATACACCACAGAATACTACACAGCCATAAAAAAGAACAAAATCTTTTTTTTTTTTTTTTGAGATGGAGTCTCTCGCTCTGTTGCCCAGCCTGGAAGTGCAGTGGCATGATCTCAGTTCACTGCAATCTCCGCCCTCTGGGTTAAAGCGATTCTCCAGCCTCAGCCTCCTAAGTAGCTGGGATTACAGGTGCCCGCCACCACACCCAGCTAATTTTTGTATTTTTAGTAGAGATGGGGTTTCACCATGTGGGCCAGGCTGGTTATGAACTCCTGACCTCATGATCCATCTGCCTTGGCCTCCCAAAATGCTGGGATTACAGGCATGAGTGCCCGGCCCAACATCATGTCCTTTGCAGCAACATGGATGAAGCTGGAGGCCATTATCCTAAGCAGACTAACACAAGACCAGAAAACCAAATACTGCATGTTTTCACTGATAAGTGGGAGCTAAACACTGAGTACAAGGACCCAAAGAAGAGAACAACAGACACCAGGGCCTACTTGAGGGTGGAGGGTGAGAGGAGGCTGAGAACCGAAAACCACCTATCAGGTACTGTGCTTATTAACTGAGTGACAAAATAATCTGTACACCGAACCCCCATGACATGCAATTTACCTACATAACAACCTGGACATGTACCCCTGAACCTAAAATCTTAAAAGTAAATTTAAAAAGAAATGTGTATACAGCACGTCCTCCACTTTATGTAAAATTACAATTTCCTAAACAATACAAAATACACAATTTTTTATGTTCAATAGAGCACCTGAAACAGTTGGATCTTCAGTTATATCTAGAAATAAAAGTCCTATTTCTACATGTTACTCAGTTTTTATGTTGTGCCTTAATCTCTGAACTTTTGGGTCATAAATAGACTTTCATAATTATAAATATTCTGGGAAGAGACTGTAGCCCCATGCTTGATTCTCTGGGTAGTTCTTGGGCAGATAAAGTGTGGATAATTGGTACCTGCAAATAGTATCTCCAAGCCCATTTTAATTGAAAGTTTTAATGTTTACCCCTAGTGAACTTTCAGCCAGAGCTACTGACAAATAGCAAAATAGATGGAGAATGCTAGTGGTCCTGAACCCACAGGTGTTTGAACACAGCTGCTGTAGCAGTGAGAGTTTAGGACTGTAGGAGAGTGTATCAGTCAGGGTTCTCCAGAGGGAAAGAACTAATAGGATATATGTATATATGAAAGGGAGGTTATTAACGAGAATTGACTCACAATCACAAGGTGAAGCCCCATGATACGCCATCTGCAACCTGAGGAGCAAGGAAGCCAGTAGTGGCTCAGTCCGAGTCCAAAAGCCTCAAAAGTGGAAGCTCACAGTGCAGCCTTCAGTCCGTGGCCGAGGCCTGAGAGCCCCTGGCAAACCACTGGCATAAGTCCAAGAGCCCAAAGGCCAAAGAACCTGGAACCTGATGTTCAAAAGCAGGAAGCATCCAGCACAGGAGAAAAATGAAAGCCGGAAGACTCAGCAAGCTAGCTTATTCCACCTTCTTCTGCCTGCTTTGTTCTAGCCACGCTGGCAGCTGATTGGATGGTGCCCACCCAGATTGAGGGTAGGTCTTCCTTTGTTCTAGCCACGCTGGCAGCTGATTGGATGGTGCCCACCCAGATTGAGGGTAGATCTTCCTTTGTTCTAGCCACGCTGGCAGCTGATTGGATGGTGCCCACCCAGACTGAGGGTAGATCTTCCTTTGTTCTAGCCACGCTGGCAGCCGATTGGATGGTGCCCACCCAGATTGAGGGTAGGTCTTCCTCTCCCAGTCCACTAACTCAAATGTTACTCTCTTCTGGCAACACCTCTACAGACACACCCAGAAACAATATTTTACCAGCCATCTAGGGATCCTATAATCCAATCAAGTTGACACCTAATATTAACCATCACAGAGAGGATCCAAGGCTTGGCCACCCCAGAGGGAAGCGAGGTATTTGCCCAGGACCCTGTAGAGGGGGCCTGGTCTTCAAGCAGGATGACAGAGCCACAGAGGGAGCCAGGAATATCTGTGAGGTCCAGTAACTCAGCTTTATAACCTGAGGGAGAATTTCCAGCATGTTCTGTGAAGATAATTAAAACCCCTCTAGGAGAAGGGACCCAATCTTCTGAATGCTCACAATATTATATAGAAAATGCCTATTCATTTAGTAATAATTAAGTGCCTACTATGTGCAACAGCTCTAGCCTGTACCTGTAACCTAGCATTTCATGTGACCTTGAGTCTACTTTTATTCTCCTCAAGAGAGTCTACCAGCAAAATCTTGTTAGGGGGAGAAAAGTGCTCTATTTGTCATTTCTGAACTGAAATGCTTCCATCAACCTTGAATTACAGGAAAAGTCTCCTATACTTAGCTATTGTTTTCATCATCATCGTCATCATTATTGCAGACTCCTGAAAGGGAGCAGAGAGTGCTTCTTTTAATGCCAACTGTGATTTGCATGTTCATAGAAGGTTTGAAGTTTCAGAAATTAAATGTCGGGGTGTAAAATTCTCTTGAAGGAAGAAAGTATGATTGCATCAAACTTTCAAAGTACAATCAAAGTCTAAAGGAAATATAATTATTATTGTCGGTTTATCACCTCAAACATGTTGTTGTAAATGTCATTATATCAGATGAGTTTGGTAACAGGTTTTCCATTTTGCACTTTATTTGACAAGGTGATTCATTGTTTAGTGCAGTTTAAGATGTCAGTCCTTCTGGAAGGAATTGAGCTGAGCTATGTGCATAAGAACATTCTTCCATCAAAGTATATGATTAAAGAAGGGTTAGACTCCTGAAATATTGTTTCCAAACTTGCTTTGAATAAGAGTGGTTTATTTGTCGAGATATAATTTATCACAGTTTGCTACATCTGGGAAAGTGTACCTAGACTCTACATGCTGTCTATAGTATACTTCGTACGGCTCTAAGCCTGGGCAAGATAATCCTATCTTGGGTAAGTTTGTCTCTATCATGGAAACCTATCTCATAATTGCAACTGTATGGGTTTTTTTAAATAAAATGTCTCACAGTGAACCAGAGTGATAGAGTAAACAATTTGGCCCCGCGTTATTGCGTAGAGTGTATTGGACTACCATGTGTTGGTCGCCTAATATGAGACACTTCACAACAAAGCATAGCATTCAGGTTTTGAGCACTAGAAGGGAGCCAGAGACTTCTTTTTGCCATTCTGATGATGCCACAGCACTTCCTTTTTCTCTTTGTTAATGTCCCATATCAAAATTGTAAATAAGAACATACATCTTCATAATAAAGAAGAACGCCATTTTTATATCTATACCTACGAAATGCTAGGAACTGGGCTACTGAAGGCCTTACCTCTCATATACAAAGTGATCTTGTAAATTATTTGCATCTTCATTATATAATTGAGGGATCTGAGGCTCTGAAGGACTAAGTAATTTGCCTAAAGACATACAGACAGCAAGTGGCAGAGCTGGGATTCCAACCAAGCCTCTGTGACTCCAATGCCCAGAGCTCTTTTCTTCATTGTGGTTGCTGTGTGTGTCCAAAATGCACCAAGTTTATCCTCCTTTTAGCAGTGTGGCCTATAGGTTTTACTGTTTGCCTGAGCAATGCCTATATGTATATGTGGTATCTTTTAAAATTCCTCTTGATACCTGACTGTTAGTGTCTTATTTTAGGTGCAACAGCACACAATACATGTAAACTGTAGGAAGGAACATTCTTTCTTTCCTTTCCCCAGTTGAAATCTATGCTGATTTCAACAAAGGTCAAAATGTCCCAGGCTTCTTTAAAGGAAAATTAGATGTAAAGGAACTCCCAAATATCTTCCAAATTACATTATTTAAAATTACCTAGGGGGAGGGTGTCATGTGATAAAAATTTCTTGTTTAAATTGAATTGAACAGCATTTTATGAGAGATGCAATGGCCAACATTTGAGAATATAAAATAATAGTGATGTATTTATGCAGTTTCAATTAAAAAATGACAGATATGTCATAGCTGAATAACATCCTCTTCAATGATGAAAAAGAGGCAGCACTGATACTTGCATGGGCTCAAGGCTGAAATATTTTCAAGGCCCCTCAGTTTTCCTTGAGTGTAGAAAGTCCAGGATATTTGCAGGACGCTCTGTCCTGACGTAGCTCTGCTGCTTGGGGTTAAGGTCAAGACACCAAATTTCAGATCCATTTGAAAACATGTATACCACACTAGGGGAAGTGTGACATTTCTATTTATGTTACTCCTCTGGAAGTTTTGAAATTTGAGGTTTGTATGTGTGTTTGATCGTAGGTTTCTTGGCTTACATTTCTATAAAGCCATCTCTTGATAACAGGGATTTTTTTGTTTTATTTAAAATTTTCAAATGTGTATCTGTATGCATCTATCTATCTACCCCTACATATCAACAAATATACACTTTATGGTTTTAAACTACTCATAGAATTAAAATGGTCATCATACCTTCTTTAAATAATGCTTTGCTCAGCAAGCAGTAGAGGATTGGATAGTGGTTACACACTTGGTTTCTGGTGCAAGTTCAGATCCCAGTTCTCACTCCACACTATTTCTGGGAACTTGCGCAAACTCCCAACTTCTCTGTACATCAGTTGCTCCATTTTTAAAGTGGTATCTAATTCATAGGCCTATATGAATTTATATGTTTTGTTTTGTTTTTTGTTTTTTGAGACAGAGTTTTGCTCTTGTCGCCCAGGCTGGAGTGCAGTGGCGCAATCTTGGCTCACTGCAACCTCCACCTCCTGGGTTTAAGCAATTCTTCCGCCTCAGCCTCCTGAGTAGCTGGGACTACAGGCACCCGCCACCACTCCCAGCTAAGTTTTGTATTTTTAGTAGAGATGGGGTTTCACCACGTTGGCCAGGTTGGTCTCAAACTCCTGACCTCAGGACATCCACCCACCTCAGCTTCCCAAGTGAGGGATTACAGGCATGAGCCACCACACCACACCCTGAGTTTACATTTATAAAGTACCTTGAAGAATATTTGGACATATAGTAGTGCTGTGTAACTAGGTGCTTAATAAATGAAATTTTGTTAGAAGCACTATAAGTATAATGGATTCGGATAATATGTTTAAAAGCATATTTTGAGAAGCATCAACTTTTTTGAAGTTTTTGCTTGGTTCTCTTGGGGAGATAATTGATCAAATGTGAAGATACATATCACCTTTAAAACAGAATTGACGGGTGGAGCCAAGATGGCCGAATAGGAACAGCTCCAGTCTACAGCTCCCAGCGTGAGCGACCAGAAGACAGGTGATTTCTGCATTTCCAACTGACGTACCAGGTTCATCTCACTGGGGAATGCCAGACAGTGGGGGCAGGACAGTGGGTGCAGTACACCGTGCATGAGCCAAAGCAGGGCGAGGCATCACCTCACCCAGGAAGTGCAAGGGGTCAGGGAATTCCCTTTCCCAGTCAAAGATAGGGGTGACAGATGGCACCTGGAAAATCGGGTCACTCCCACCCTAATACTGCGCTTTTCCAATGGGCTCAACAAACGGCACACCAGGAGATTATATCCCACACCTGGCTCGGAGGGTCCTACACCCACAGAGCCTCACTCATTGCTAGCACAGCAGTCTGAGATCAAACTGCAAGGTGGCAGCGAAGCTGGGGGAGGGGCGCCTGCCATTGCCCAGGCTTGCTTAGGTAAACAAAGCAGCCGGGAAGCTCGAACTGGGTGGAGCCCACCACAGCTCAAGGAAGCCTGCCTGTCTCTGTAGGCTCCACCTCTGGGGACAGGGCACAGACAAACAAAAAGACAGCAGTAACCTCTGCAGACTTAAATGTCCCTGTCTGACAGCTTCGAAGAGAGTAGTGGTTCTCCCAGCACACAGCTTGGGATCTGAGAATGGGCAGACTGCCTCCTCAAGTGGGTCCGTGACCCCTGAGTAGCCTAACTTGGAGGCACCCCCCAGGTAGGGGCAGAATGACACCTCACATGGCCGGGTACTCCTCTGAGACAAAACTTCCAGAGGAACGATCAGGCAGCAGCATTTGCGGTTCACCAATATCCGCTGTTCTGCAGCCACCACTGCTGATACCCAGGCAAACAGGGTCTGGAGTGGACCTCCAGCAAACTCCAACAGACCTGCAGCTTAGGGTCCTGATGGTTAGAAGGAAAACTAACAAACAGAAAGGACATCCACACCAAAAACCCATCTGTACATCACCATCATCAAAGACCAAAGGTAGATAAAACCACAAAGATGGGGCGAAAACAGAGCAGAAAAACCGGAAGCTCTAAAAATCAGAGCGCCTCTCCTCCTCCAAAGGAACGCAGCTCCTCACCAGCAACGGAACAAAGCTGGATGGAGAATGACTTTGACGAGATGAGAGACGAAGGCTTCAGAAGATCAAACTACTCCGAGCTAAAGGAGGAAGTTTGAACCAATGGCAAAGAAGTTAAAACTTTGAAAAAAAATTAGACGAATGGATAACTAGAATAACCAATGCAGAGAAGTCCTTAAAGGACCTGATGGAGCTGAAAACCATGGCATGAGAACTACGTGACGAATGCACAAGCCTCAGTAACCAATGCAATCAACTGGAAGAAAGGGTATCAGCGATGGAAGACTAAATGAATGAAATGAAGCATGAAGAGAAGTTTAGACAAAAAAGAATAAAAAGAAACAAACAAAGCCTCCAAGAAATATGGGACTATGTGAAAAGACAAAATCTACGTCTGATTGGTGTACCTGAAAGTGACGGGGAGAATGCAACCAAATTGGAAAACACACTGCAGGATATTATCCAGGAGAACTTCCCCAATCTAGCAAGGCAGGCCAACATTCACATTCAGGAAATACAGATAACGCCACAAAGATACTCCTCGAGAAGAGCAACTCCAAGACACATAATTGTCAGATTCACCAAAGTTGAAATGAAGGACAAAATGTTAAGGGCAGCCAGAGAGAAAGGTCAGGTTACCCACAAAGGGAAGCCCATCAGACTAACAGCTGATCTCTCAGCAGAAACTCTACAAGCCGGAAGAGATTGGGGGCCAATATTCAACACTCTTAAAGAAAAGAATTTTCAACTCAGAATTTCATATCCAGCCAAACTAAGCTTCATAAGTGAAGGAAAAATAAAATACTTTACAGACAAGCAAATGCTGAGAGATTTTGTCACCACCAGGCCTGCCCGAAAAGAGCTCCTAAAGGAAGCACTAAACATGGAAAGGAACAATTGGTACCAGCCACTGCAAAAACATGCCAAATGGTAAAGACCATCGAGGCTAGGAAGAAAACGCATCAACTAACAAGCAAAATAACCAGCTAACATCATAATGACGGATCAAATTCACACATAACAATATTAACCTTAAATGTAAATGGGCTAAATGCTCCAAGTACAAGGCACAGACTGGCAAATTGGATAAAGAGTCAAGACCCATCAGTGTGCTGTATTCAGGAAACCCATCTCACGTGCAGAGACACACATAGGCTCAAAATAAAGGGATGGAGGAAGATCTACCAAGCAAATGGAAAACAAAAAAAAAGCAGGGGTTGCAATCCTAGTCTCGGATAAAACAGATTTTAAACCAACAAAGATCAAAAGAGACAAAGAAGGCCATTACATAATGGTAAAGGGATCAATTTGACAAGAAGAACTAACTATCCTAAATATATATGCACCCAATAAAGGAGCACCCAGATTCATAAAGCAAGTCCTGAGTGACCTACAAAGAGACTTAGACTCCCACACAATAATAATGGGAGACTTTAACACCCCACTGTCAACATTAGACAGATCAACGAGAGAGAAAGTTAACAAGGTTATCCAGGAATTGAACTCAGCTCTGCACCAAGAGGACCTAATAGACATCTACAGAACTCTCCACCCCAAACCAACAGAATATACATTCTTTTCAGCACCACACCACACCTATTCCAAAATTGACCACATAGTTGGAAGTAAAGCACTCCTCAGCAAATGTAAAAGAACAGAAATTATAACAAACTGTCTCTCAGACCACAGTGCAATCAAACTAGAACTCAGGATTAAGAAACTCACTCAAAACCACTCAACTACATGGAAACTGAACAACCTGCTCCTGAATGACTACTGGGTACATAACGAAATGAAGGCAGAAATAAAGATGTTCTTTGAAACCAACAAGAACAAAGACACAACATACCAGAATCTCTGGGACACATTCAAAGCAGTATGTAGAGGGAAATTTATAGCACTAAATGCCCACAAGAGAAAGCAGGAAAGATCCAAAATTGACACCCTAACATCGCAATTAAAAGAACTAGAGAAGAAAGAGCAAACATATTCAAAAGCTAGCAGAAAGCAAGAAATAACTAAGATCAGAGCAAAACTGAAGGAAATAGAGACACAAAAAACCCTTCAAAAAATCAATGAATGCAGGAGCTGGTTTTTTGAAAAGATCAACAAAATTGATAGACTGCTAGCAGGACTAATAAAGAAGAAAAGAGAGAAGAATCAAAGAGACCCAATAAAAAATGACAAAGGGGATGTCACCACCAATCCCACAGAAATACAAACTACCATCAGAGAATACTATAAACACCTCTATGCAAATAAACTAGAAAATCTAGAAGAAATGGATGAATTCCTTGACACATACACCCTCCCAAGGCTAAACCAGGAAGAAGTTGAATCCCTGAATAAACCAATAACAGGCTCTGAAATTGAGGCAATAATTAACAGCTTACCAACCAAAAAAAGTCCAGGACCAGATGGATTCACAGCCGAATTCTACCAGAGGTACAAGGAGGAGCTGGTACCATTCCTTCTGAAACTATTCCAATCAATAGAAAAAGAGGGAATCCTCCCTAACTCATTTTATGAGGCCAGCATCATCCTGATACCAAAGCCGGGCAGAGACAACCAAAAAAGAGAATTTTAGACCAATATCCCTGATGAACGTCAATGCAAAAATCCTCAATAAAATACTGGCAAACCAAAACCAGCAGCACATCAAAAAGCTTATCCACCATGATCAAGTGGGCTTCATCCCTGGGATGCAAGGCTGGTTCAACATACGCAAATCAATAAATGTAATCCAGCGTATAAACAGAACCAATGACAAAAACCACATGATTATCTCAATAGATGCAGAAAATGTCTTTGACAAAATTCAAAATCCCTTCATGCTAAAAACTCTCAATAAATTAGGTATTGATGGGACGTATCTCAAAATAATAAGAGCTATCTATGACAAACCCACAGCCAATATCATACCGAATGGACAACAACTGGAAGCATTCCTTTTGAAAACTGGCACAAGACAGGGATGCCATCTCTCACCACTCCTATCCAACATAGTGTTGGAAGTTCTGGCCAGGGAAATCAGGTAGGAGAAGGAAATAAAGGGCATTCAATTAGGAAAAGAGGAAGTCAAATTGGTCCTGTTTGCAGATGACATGATTGTATATCTAGAAAACCCCATTGTCTCAGCCCCAAATCTCCTTAAGCTGATAAGCAACTTCAGCAAAGTCTCAGAATAAAAAATCAATCTGCAAAAATCACAAGCATTCCTATTCACCAATAACAGACAAACAGACAGCCAAATCGTGAGTGAACTCCCATTCACAAATGCTTCAAAAAGAATAAAATACCTAGGAATACAGCTTACAAGGGATGTGAAGGACCTCTTCAAGGAGAACTACAAACCACTGCTCAGTGAAATAAAAGAGGATACAAACAAATGGAAGAACATTCCATGCTCATGGGTAGGAAGAATCAATATCGTGAAAATGGCCATACTGCTCAAGGTAATTTATAGATTCAATGTCATCCCCATCAAGCTACCAATGACTTTCTTCACAGAATTGGAAAAAACTACTTTAAAGTTCATGTGGAACCAAAAAAAGAGCCCGCATCGCCAAGTCAATCCTAAGCCAAAAGAACAAAGCTGGAGGCATCACGTTACCTGACTTCAGACTATACTACAAGGCTACAGTAACCAAAACAGCATGGTACTGGTACCAAAACAGAGATATAGATCAATGGAACAGAACAGAGGCCTCAGAAATAATGCCGCATATCTACAACTATCTGATCTTTGACAAACCAGACAAAAACAAGCAATGGGGAAAGGATTCCCTATTTAATAAATGGTGCTGGGGAAACTGGCTAGCCATAGGTAGAAAGCTGAAACTGGATCCCTTCCTTACACCTTATACGAAAATTAATTCAAGATGGATTAAAGACTTAAATGTTAGACCTAAAACCATAAAAGCCCTAGAAGAAAACCTAGGAAATACCATTCAGGACATAGGCATGGGCAAGGACTTCATGTCTAAAACACCAAAAGCAATGGCAACAAAAGCCAAAATTGACAAATGGGATCTAATTAAAGTAAAGAGCTTCTGCACAGCAAAAGAAACTACCATCAGAGTGAACAGGCAACCTACAGAGTGGGAGAAAATTTTTGCAACCTACTCATCTGACAAAGGGCTAATATCCAGAATCACCAATGAACTCAAACAAATTTACAAGAAAAAAACAAACAACCCCATCAAAAAGTGGGCAATGGATATGAACAGACACTTCTCAAAAGAAGACATTTATGCATCCAAAAAACACATGAAAAAATGCTCATCATCACTGGCCATCAAAGAAATGCAAATCAAAACCACAATGAGATACCATCTCACACCAGTTAGAATGGCAATCATTAAAAAGTCAGGAAAGAACAGGCGCTGGAGAGGATGTGGAGAAATAGGAACACTTTTACACTGTTGGTGGGACTGTAATCTGGTTTAACCATTGTGGAAGTCAGTGTGGCGATTCCTCAGGGATCTAGAACTAGAAATACCATTTGACCCAGCCATCCCATTACTGGGTATATACCCAAAGGATTATAAATCATGCTGCTATAAAGACACATGCACACGTATGTTTATTGTGGCACTATTCACAATGGGAAAGACCTGGAACCAACCCAAATGTCCAACAAGGATAGACTGGATTAAGAAAATGTGGCACATGTATACCATGGAATACTATGCAGCCATAAAAAATGATGAGTTCATGTCCTTTGTAGGGACATGGATGAAGCTGGAAACCACCATTCTCAGCAAACTATCGCAAGGGCAAAAAACCAAACACCACATGTTCTCACTCATAGGTGGGAATTGAACGATGAGAACACATGGACACCGGAAGGGGAACATCACACACCAGGGACTGTTGTGGGGTGGGGGGAGGGGGGAGGGATAGCATTAGGAGATATACCTAATGCTAAATGACGAGTTAATGGGTGCAGCACACCAACATGGCACATGTATATATATGTAACAAACCTGCACGTTGCGCACATGTACCCTAAAACTTAAAGTATAATAATAATAAAATAAAATTTAAAAAAAAGGGAATTGACATCCAGAACACAACAACGATGCCCACTTTCACCACTGTTATTTAACATAGTACTGGAAGTCCTGGCTAGAGAAATTAGACAAGAAAAAGAAATAAAAGGCCTTCAAGTTGGAAAAGAAGAAGTCAAATAACCCTTGTTTTCAGGCGACATGAACTTATATTTGTAAAAACCTAAAGACTCTGTCAAAAAACTATTAGAACTGGTAAACAAATTCAGGAAAGTTGCAGGACAAAAAATCAACCTAGCCAGATCAGTAGCATTTCTATGTGCCAACAGTGAACAAAAGAAATCAGGAAAGTAATCTAATTTACAATAGCTACACATAGAATAAAATACCTAGGAGTTAACTTACTAAAGAAGTGAAATATCTCTAAAATGAAACCTATAAAAGATTGATGAAAGAAACTGAAGAGGACACCAAAAGATGGCAATACATTCCATGTTCATGGATTGAAAAAATCAATATTGTTTAAATGTTCATGCTACCCAAAATAATCTACAGAGTCAATGCAATCTCTATCAAAACACCAATGATATTCTTCATGGAAGTAGGAAAAAACAATTCTCAAATTTATATGGAATCACAAAAGACGCAGAATAGCCAAAGCTATCCTAAGCAAAAATAACAAAACTGGAGGAATCACATTACCTGACCTCAAAATATACCACAGAAATAGTAGTTAACCCAAACATCATGGTACAGTCATATAAACAGACACATAGACCAATGCAACAGAATAGAGAACCAAGAAACAAATCCATACATCTATAGTAAACTCATTTTTGACAAAGTTACCAAGACATACATTGGGAAAAGGACAATCTCTTTAATCAATGGTGCTGGGAAAACTGGATATCTATAAGTAGAAGAATAAAACTAGACCTCTCTCTTTTGCCATATACCAAAATAAAATCAAAATGAGTTAAATACTTAAATCTAAGACCTCAAACTGTGAAACTACTACAGGAGAACACTGGGGAAACTCTCCAGGGCATTGGACTGGGCAAAGACTAGCGGCCAAAGCAAAAATGGACAAGTGGGATCACATCAAGTTAAAAGACTTCTGCACCGCAATGGAAACAAGCAACAAAGTAAAGAGACAACACACAGAATGGGAGAAAATATTTGCAAATGAACCATCTGACAAGGGGTTAATAACCAGAATACATAAGGAGCTCAAACAACTCCGCAGGAAAAAATATATAATCTGATTTAAAAATGGGCAAAAGAACTGAATAGATAATTTATAAAAAGAAGACATACAAATGGCAAACAGGTTTATGAAAAGGTGCTAAACATCATTGATCATCAGAGAAATAAAAATTGAAACTACAATGAGATGTCATCTCACCCCAGTTAAAATGGCTTTTATCCCAAAGACAGGCAATAACAAATGCTGGTGAGGATGGGGAGAAAAGGGAGCTCTCATCCACTGTTGGCTGGAATGTAAATCAGCACGACTATTATAGAGAATAATTTGGAGGTTCCTCAAAGAACTAAAAATAGAACTGCCATATGACCCAGCAATCCTCACTGCTATGTATATAACGCTCCCTAAAAGGAAATCAGTATATCAAAGAGGTGTCTGCACTCCTATGTTTATTGAAGCACTATTTACAATAGCCAAGATTTGGAAGCAACCTAAGTGTCCATCAACAGACAAACGGATAAAGAAAATGTGGTACATATACACAGTGGAGTACTATTTGGCCATAAAAAAGAATCAGATCTTGTCATTTGCAACAACATGGGTAAAATTGGAGGTTATTACATTAAGTGAAATAAGCCAGGCACAGAAAGACAAACTTTGCACATTCTCACTCATGGGTAGGAGCTAAAGATTAAAACAATTGAACTCATGGAGATAGAGAGTAAGACAATCGGTATCAGAGGCTGGGAAGCGTAGTGGGGGTCAGGTAAGGGGTGATGGCTAATACGTACAAATATATACCTATTTGTGTGTATTATATATACAATGTATATATTGTATATTACATATTGTTTATATTATGTTACATATAATATATAATAGGTACAAAAATATAGTTACAATGAATGTGGTCTAGTATTTGATAGCACAGCAGGGTGACTACAGGCAACAATAATTTATCATACATTTCAAAATTACAAAAAGAATATAATTGGATTGTTTGTAACTCAAAGACAGGATAAATGCTTGAGGTTATGGATACCCCATTTACCCTGATGTTATTATTATGCATTACATGCCTGCATCAAAATATTTCCTGTACCCCATAAATATATACACCTACTATGTACCCATAAAAATAAAAAATAAAAAAAAGTAAAATAAAGTGAACTGACATCCACAGCAGGGTAACTACAGAAAGAACCAGAGTAAGGTATACAATGCAAGTCAGTATGACCGTCGTCATTCTGAACTAGAGTTCTTGAAAACAGTAAGGGGCAGTGGTCAGAGAATTAATCTGCTTAAATCCAAGATTGACTTTAGACAAGTTCCTAAAAGTTCCTGAGCTCCAGTTTCCTCAGCTATAAAATGGAAATGTAATGTATCTACCTGTTAGGTTGCTATGAGAATCACATGAAATAATATTTGTTAAGCACTATTAATTTAATAACAGCTGTGATCAATATTAGTATCGATAGTTTTATTATTTCAGGCCCTTTTTCACATGGTTTTCTCATCTGTCTGTTAAGAATAATTGTAACTAGTATCAATTGACTCAGCTTATAATGGGAAAATACACAAGACTTACTGTGGACTACAGTAAGAATTGAAGAAGCCCGTATATATGTACACAGTGATAGAGTTTTATAACATAATTTGTCAAACTTTGATTTCTGTATTTTTAAAAATATGTGAATAAATCACAGCGAATTTATAAAACCAAAAAATAAAAGAAGAGTAGATAAAATAAAATGAAATCTTTAGTAAATAAGAAACCAGCCCTGAAATAAACGATAGAAAGAATCGGCCTCATTTATGTGAAAAAAGACTGACAAGTGACCGGCTCAAAGCTTCAAAGATAGTTTTTCTGAGAATGTTGACTTTCATTTATGAGAAGATAAAAGTGCTGACTGGAGATATTGGAGATCAAATTGGGCAACATAAGGACTTTTAGACACAAACGATGTTCCCACAGCAGGACAGTCTCTCAACAGAGATAGTATAATAATGGCCTCTAGAAATCTTTAAACATTAACAATCACTGTTCTGAATGTTTAGTAATTAAATCTAATTTCTGGACATGAAAAACTGGAACTGATAACCACTTTCTACTCCAAAACTTTGATTTTATATATCACAGACCGAAGCCTCCCAAACTTAGTTAAGTGGAACACCAGAATGCAGTGTTACTGTTGTGCTGAGGTTGGACCTTCTTAGGCCCATGTTGGGCCCCCAGGAGGGACCACAGGGCCAGTCACCACAAGCAGCCTCCTCCATTTACCCCAGAGTATGACACCATCTCTTATGTATGCCATGAGGCAAAAAACATAAGGAATCGTAGACTTGGATGCATAATGTACTGAAAAATAACTGGTATCTAAATTCAAATATATTATCAATCAACTGAAAGCTTTTTGGAGGCCAAATACAATCCCTTTGTATACATAGGGGAGCCAGAACAGAAATGAGAAAATTAATGAATTTATAGCTTCCATTATTCAGACCGTCTAGGTGTTCTTTGTATTTTTCTCAGGAAAAGGACATTAGAGGAATCCAACTGGGATATTGCAATGGCTTGGCCAAAGTGACAAGGCCTGTATCTCCATGGCAAGTGCTGACAGAGCCAAACCATTTTCAACAATCCATACCTTGAAAGTCTCAAGTGATATGATTCCAAATTTCCTTGACAGAAAGCCAAAACAACTTCTTGAGCTGAAGGACACAGATCACATTCATCATGTTCTTTGAACTTTTGTCTCTTTCTTCTGTGCTTCCAAATTGTTTGGTTAGAAACTTTATATTTAATCATGACTAAAAGAAGGAAATACTTTTCCATGTATTCATCCATCTACCAGTCATTCATTCTTTCATCAAGCAAACATTTAGAGAAGGCGTATATTTATAGAATGACTGTGAAAGCGTTGAAGAATCTAATAAAATAGAAAGCTAATTCAAGCCATAAGATGTATGCAAACCTAACTATAATATAAGAGCATATAAAGAAGAGGCCTGAGGACAGATTAGGAAACAGGTTGTGGACAGTTGGGAGAGAGGTAAGAAATCAGCATGCAGCATACATGTCTGTGGATAAAATGCAGTCTCTCAATCAGTTAGGAGCACTTTAAGACTTTTCATGGAATTATTGATCCATCATTGGTCATTGAATCTATAAAGAGGCCTAAGTGTATGATCTCAACATAGATTCCAGACTTATAATTCTCTCTTGGAGCCATTACTGCTGGCAATATGGAACAAATTAACGTGGATAGGAAAGGCCTTCTTTTTGAGAGATGAAATGTCTATCTTAAATGGCATAAAACAGGGCTGGATCCCAAGTGCCCTCCTTTTAATTTTATAACTGAATAAGTTGGTTGTCTTTAGATGACCTAGCCACAGTGCGACAAGTACCTCTCATGTGTTGATGACATGCCTTCCTATATGATCACAGAAGTGGCTCTGACAAGCAGTTCAACCCACTGGCCAAAGTATATCAGGAAAAGCTGCTAAATATTATTTTTTCTAAAACTGAAATAATTAATTTTGGCAGACACACTTTGATGTCCAGATGGATAATATCAAATTATTCGGCTCAACTGACAGCCATAGTTAGTTCCTAAGGACCCCAACTGGTGATTTACCTGGTTAACCCTTGCGATGCAGTTGCATTTTACAGGAGTCATGTTAAGGATCTTCTCTAGTCAGGACAGACCTTTGGTACTGCTTACCCTCAAAAGCTTTCAAGACAGGCCAACTCTTTTGTGCCTTGTGGTACAGAGTTACGGCATTTGCATCAACAATTTGCGCAGACCCCAAAGTGTTTTGTGAGCATTGCACTTGATCCCTTTGAAAGTGCTCATTTGGCTCACTGTTGAGCCACAGGTGAAGTGACCTTCCATTAAAATAAAAATATCAGATAAGTCTGTTTATTTTCACAAGGAAACAACACCCTTGTCATCTTCACTTGGGATCTTTTTTCAGTCAGCAATGTGGGCTATCTGTGAGTAGAAATGGATAGTAATCTCAATTTCGAATTGTCTATTATTAATCTCCTGTCAAAAGCATAGCTGAAGCTAAGGGGGCCACCAATCACTCATCTTCAAGATTCTCCAAAATGCAACCATATTATGCCTTAAGTTCTCATGTAAGCTTATTCTATGAAGTAGCTCTATGTGGACTTCTTATAAAAAGGATTTAAATTATAGTATTCATCATGTCATTCAATGACCCTTAAAGCAAGACATATAGGGAGCATTCCTCCCAAAGTTCAGGTGCAAGAGAAAGTTGCTCCTTTTATTAGACAAAGAGTACTCCCATTGGTCATTTTTTCTCTTTACTTTAATGGGTAAGAAGCTCAGAGTAAATTTTTATGCTCAGTTTCAGTATTTGTTCTCTGTCTGGATTTTCATATCATTATTCCTTCACTACTTTTATTTCTTGGCTTGTGTCTTTCATTATATTAATGGTTTCCCACTTAACCATGATTTTTATTGTAAGCTGCCCCACATCACACATCACCTTTGGAAGTAGGCAGTGTCTAGATGCATATGAAAAATATTTCTTCAACATAGACTGGATACTAGAGCAGGCACCCCCTGGAGGACTGTCTAAAAGTGTGGTCAGTGTAATATCTAGAAAAGAATAACTTGGTAGTTATTCTAGTAATTCTGCAGATTCCTAGGCTCTATGCTACGTCTATTGAATTAGAATCAAGGTAGACTGGGAATCTGCCTTTTTGCAAGCAACGCAGATGAGTCTTCTACACACTAAAGACTGAGAACCACTGGCCTAGAATCATTCTCCAATTGATCCACGAGTTAATTGTGTCTCCCCAAGTTGGAAAATTGCCTTTAAGATGAGGATATACCTTATGTTTCACCAGCATTGTTCGCAGGTCTAGCAGGGGACAAATTTAGATATTCACTGTCAGTGACCCACAAATGAAAAAGGAATTAGGAAATATATATGTCTTTCTGTCTTTCTTTCTCTCTCTTTCTTTCTTTCATTTCTTTTTCTTTCTTTCTTTCATTTCTTTCTCTTTCTTTCTTTCTTTCTTTCTTTCCTTCTTTCTTTCCTTCTCTCTCTCTCTCTCTCTCTTTCTTTCTCAGAGACAGGGTCTCACTGTGTCACTCAAGCTGGTCTCAAACTCCTGGGCTCAAGCAACCCTTTCACCTTGGCCTCCCAAAGTGCTAGGATTACAGTCATGAGCCACCACACCCAGCCAGAATCAGGAAGTCATAGCCACCATGTAAAAATCATAGGAGTCTTGTCATCAGAGTGGGAATGGAAATGAAAAGTATTTAAAAGGGTTTCAAAATGTGGGGAAGAGCTTCAACCAGGACCTTTCTAGACACATTAGGGGATTTAGAGTGAGAGAAAGGAGGGGAGAGAGAGAGAGAAAAGAAGGAGAAGGAGAAGGAGAGAAAAACATCAGAGATATCCCAGAGTTTGAATCTTGAACAATTAGGAAAATGTGAATGCCATTACCTGAGATGGGAAATGTTATATGTAAGAGTAGAAAATCATGTTTGATTTTAAAGTATGAAGTCCTAAGGAAACCACCAAGTGGAAAGATGGACCTAGACCTGAGAAAAGTCAAGTTTAGAGATGAAATGCTGGAACTTTACACCTCGAGGTGAGCAGATAGTATAGGAATACAGAAATAACTCAGATAGGAACTACAGAGTGAAAAGAGAGGAAAGCTAAGAAGGAAACTGGAAGACATTTAGTAGATAAGGAAGGAGACACGTGTCAAAATGAAGGAGGGAAAAGAGAATTTTAGGATTCAGAAAACAAGAAAAAGGACTCTCAAGAAAGGTTTCAAGCACTAAAAGCTTCTTTGTGTTGGGTAGGATTAAGATTTCCTGAGGCATTGTGGTTGAGCAGTTACAGGAAAGGGAAGGGAGCAGAAATAGGACTGCAGAGGAAGAATGAATGGGAGGGATATGGCTAAGATGAAACTCTGAGAAGTCTGATTGTGTAGGGTGGACAGATGTGATGGTAACTCTACAGGGAAGGAGGGTTGAGGACAGGGCTGCTACTAGACTTTACAGTGTCTTTTTGAAAACTAAGAAAATGCATCCCTTCCTCTTGGAAGACATTTTTCAACATGTGAGCCAGCATGACTTGGCCAGATGAATATTGGATGGATTTCATCCTGACTGGCCTCTCCAGCTAGGAGTCTTTATGCAGTGTGCAAGCCCATGCTTAAATATCTGCTGCCATCCAAAACTTTCTCTCAACAGTGCGTGCACACTGCACTGGCCTAGGGAAAGTAGCCAGTTGTTGGCAGAGTGAGAGGGGCATCAAATTTAGTTAAGGGACAGGAGAATAGGGGTAACTGCCAGAGGAAAGTCAAAGAGAAGCATGAAAAGATGGACTTAAAGCACAGTTGCTCTTAGACAATGAACACAGCAGATATGGTCATTTATGCCAACACCTTTCTTGAAAAGTTTTTCTCATGTCATTAATCCTTTCACATAATACAGGCATGGAATGAAATCCAATCTCCTTTCATATTTTTTAAGGACCTCAAAAAGGTTGTGATATCAGTGTGTGTCACATAATTATAAAAGACTGAGAAAGATATCTATGAACTAATGTGGAGTGATTTCTAAAGGATATTAAATTTTAAACTCAAAGACAAAAAATACATTTAGTATGATACTTTTGAGGCTAGAAAGAAGGAAAATACAAAAATATACATATATCTCCTTATTATTACAGAAAGAAACCGAAGAAGAATCAGCCAGAAACAATGAATTTGTGTATTTACAAGGGCTGGGAGGAAATGGGATGGAAGAGATAGGGAAGGCAGTGATGGTTGTTTGAGTGCAGCTTTTTGTATAGTTTTAAGTTGGAAAGCACATGTGTTAGTCCATTTGTGTTGCTATGAAGGAATTACCCTGAGGCTGGGTAATTTATAAAGAAAAGAGGTTTATTTGACTCACCGTTCTGCTGGCTGCACAAGAAGCATGACTCCAGCATCCACTTCCAGTGGAGGCTTCAGGAAGCTTTCACTCATGGCAGTAGGCAAAGCAGAAGCAGGTGTGTCCCATGGTGAAAGAGGAGGCAAGGGAGATGCCAGGCTGTCTTCCTTCCTTCCTTTTTTCCTTCCTTCCTTCCTTCTTCCCTCCCTCCCTCTCTCTCTTTCTTTCTCTTTTTCTCCTTCCTTCCTTCCCTTCCCTTCATTTCCCTTCCCCTTCCTTCCTTCCTTCCTTTTGTCTCTCTTTCTCTTTCTTCTTTCTTTCTTTCTTTCTTTCTTTCTTTCTTTCTTTCTTTTATTTTTCTTTTTTTTCTTTCTTTCAACAGGATCTCAATCTGTTGCCCAGGCTGGAGTACAGTAGAGTGATCACTGCAGCCTTGACCACCTAGGCTGAAGCAATCCTCCCCCTTCAGCCTCCCAAATAGCTAGGACCACAGGCATGTGCCACCACACCCAGTGTCTAATTTTTTATTTTTTAATTTTTTGTAGAGACAAGGTCTCACTGCATTACCCGTGCTGGTCTTGAACTCCTGGGCTCCAGCAATCCTCCCACTTTGGCCTCCAAAAGTGCCAGGATTACAAGCATGAACCACTGCTCTTTTTAACAACTAGATATCATGTGAACTATCAGAGTGGGATTACTGCTGGGAGAGCACCAAGCCGTTCATGAGGGATACACCCCGGCCCACCTCCAATTTTGGAGGTCACATTTCAATGTAAGATTTGGAGGGGACAAATATTCAATCCATATCAGCATTCTACAGGTTCAAAAAATAAAATTAGAACAATAAGAATGGGAGGGAAGAAAAAAATAACCTAAACTGAAAGGAAACTGGAACAAATGGACTTAACTTTAATTATTTTAAATGAATGCCATAATTATATTGAAGGGAATAAAGAAATGAGGGAAGAAAGGAAGAGAGAAGGAAGGGAAGGGAAGGGAGGGGAGGGGAGGGGAGGAGGGGGGAGGGGAGGAGAGGAGAGGAAGAGGACAGGAGGGAGGGGAGGGGAGGGGGAGGGGAGGGGGAGGGGAGGGAGGGGAGGGGAGGGGAGGGAAGGGAAGGGGAGAAAGAAACCAATCCATGTAGCTTATGAACTTTGGAACACAGTATTTAACCACACACCCTTAGTATTGAATAGCACTTGGTATTTGGGAAGGGGAGGGTAGGAGATGGGATAATTGTAAATGAATCCTGAACTCTTTTAAGTAGGTTGATTATAATGGTTTTTAAGCAATTCTGACACTATTTTAAATGTATTATGCTATTTAGCAAATGGGTATATATGTTGATGTTGTTATCCATGGTTCTTATAGTGAAAGAAGGGAAATACAAATATGGAATCAGGGAAGTAAAGAAAGAATCCTGTGAGAATGGACTAAAATTGGAGACATTGATGTGAGCTCTTGATTTCTAAAATATGTGTGTATACACATTTATATGTGTGTATGAATATGCCTTTGTGCATATAAAATTGTATATATGTTTACATTAATGTGTATAGAAGTTCACGTATTTCCTAACCTTGTTGGCTGAAAGCATCAAGAAGCAAAGATACCCTAGTAGCAATAAACACACCTAACACTAAAATCTTGGCCTCTAATGCCAATCCCTATTAAAAAGAACCAGGGATCCTCAGAGACATGGCTGATTCAAGAGTTGGGACACTTAGGTGCAAGACCAGAGCACTTTGTAAGAAATTAAGAAATTGTTTAAAAGAGGTCACAAGGATACAAGACCCAGATTGAAGAGGCTCCCACTGGCCAAACCTGGGACAATTTGAGCCCAAAATAATTTAAGTAATAAATTATAAATAATTGGGGAAAAGGAATTCATAAGTTTCTGTCTATGATAAAGAGGTAAATAAGTAGGAGTGAAGGAAGGGATTTTACTGGGTAATACAAAGGGCCAAGTGATAAACGTGGACAGAGTACTAGAGTTGGAAAAACAATTTCACAACCATCTTGGTAAAGACTGATTAGACAAGAATTACCCATTGATGCTAAATATAGGAGAAAACTTGAAGAGGGCAGGATATTTGCATGGTTTTAAAGCATCTCTCCACAAAATGATCAAAATTAACATAACCTACGGGGGACAGATGGACATTGCATTTCTCCAGATATGATACTCTGAGGAGAGACCACCACCCATGCAACATTTCTGCTGAGAATGCGTAAATTCAATCTCATCCCAAGGAAAGGGCAAACAAAAACTGAAGAAAAATCTTGTCAAAAAGTGTGTGTGTGGGGGGGGGTGGGGGCGGGGGGGTCTATTCTTCAAAATTGTCAATGTCATAACAAGACAAAGAAAAGCTGGAAAAATGGCTCCAGATTAAAGGAGGCTAAAGAGATACGACACCTAAATTTAATACCCAAATCATGTACTGAAGGGGGGGAAATGCTATAAAAGATATTATTAGGAAAACTCACAAAATTGGAATGTGAAAGGATTCGATAGAAATAATGCATCAATGGAAATTTATAAAGTTGATAACTGTACTATGGTTATTTAAGAGAATATAAGTACATACGCATTAGGAAATATACAATGAAACATTCAGGGATAAAAGGCCATGATGTGTGCAACTTACCTTCAAATGGTTCAGAAAAGTAAAAAACAGATAAATACATAGACTGATAGAGAGACAGATACATAGACAGACAGGTAGATAGAGTTCATAAATGATAAAGCAAATGGGGTGAAATATTAAGAAAAGGTGAGTGTGGTTAAAGTGTACTATTTTTGGTTTTACAATATTTTATAAACCTAAAATAATTTTTAAAAAGTAAAAAAACAGTTGTCATTTGTTATTTTAAATGTTTATAGCAGATGTCCTGCCAGTGGTGAAAGTAGCAAATATGATGCACAAACTGTGCTATCTTAGGAAAGCAGCTCTTGAAAATAATGAGAAAGTTTGAATTAAACTTTTTGCGCACCGAGACTTTAGTATTTACTCTTAAAGCCAGAATGTCTTTGGGAGGAGAGGGGTGAAGTCTCATGTAAAGAAGAGTCACATAATAGGTGGTAGGAATACAGCAAAACCCACATTTTTATTTCACTAAATTGAAATTTATACTTCATAGAATTCTCTCTCTCCACCACCTCAGATATTAAACAAAATACACAATGAGAAGTTGCATGTTTTAAAGTATTTCTTGAGCAAAATGTAATGATAAAAATGTATGTTCGTACTAGAACATTAATCTCATTCTTCATAATGAAGTATTGCATTTTTCTTTCATCAGGCTCTGACCTTTAAGGTGTTCCTGTTGTGTGTGTTTTTAATGCCTAACTTTTCTGGAAAATGTGCAGAGGTCATAATGAGGCATAATTATATACAGTATACAATTTTCTTTGGCCTTTTTCAAGCGCTAATTTAGCTATCACTTCTCCTATAGAATTTTTATAAGAAATCCTTTTTAAAATGAAAGTCCTTTCTTCAGTTTTGGCATGAATTATATATTTAATAAGCATTTAATATAGGCAGGAAATTTAGCAAGGTATATGTGGATATTAAATGAGCACCATTCACTATAGTAATCCTCCCTTATCTTCGAAGGATACGTTCCAAGACCCCCAATGGATGCCTGAAATCTGGGATAGTATGAAATCCTATAGCTCAACCATGTTTTTCCCTACACATACATACCTATGATAAGGTTTAATTTGTAAATTAGGCACAGAAATTAACAACAACAATTAAATAGAACAATTACAACACTATACTGCAACAAAAGTTATTATACACTGTGGCTGTAACTTTTACAGTTTGTAACAGCAAAACTAGCTGGGATTTCTTTTTCTGCCTTCACAATTTCATGGATAGAAGATTTGCTCTTACCATAGATTGCAGCAACCTAGGCATACTATTTGTTATCTTTCCTTATTGAGAACTTTCATCTTTTCATTTAAAGGAAGCACTTGACAGCTTCTCTTTGGCATATCCGAATTGCCAGCATCACTACTCTTGCACTTTAGGTTCAAGGGTTGCTTCAACTCAAGCACTGTGATATCAAGACAGTCGCTCTGATAACCAAGATGCTACTGGGTGACTAATGATGGGCAGCACCTACAGAGTGAAGACACCGGACAGAGAGAGGATTCGCCTCCAGACGGGACAAGGAGGGACTGCAGGAGATGTCATTAAGCAACTCAGAACTGTATGCAATTTAAAATGTCTAAATGGTTTATTTCTGGAATTTCCCATTTAATATTTTGGGACTGCAGGTAACTGAAACTGCATGCAAAAAGAGACTGGGTAAGGGAGGACTACTGCAAATCCTTATTTATCTCGATTGCAAATGAGATAATTTCCTTATTATATAGAATGGATAGCACCAATCACAGAGTATTGTGAAGATTAAATTGAGTATGTAAAGTGCTTAGCACAGTGCCTGGCATATAGCAAGCACTCAAGGGATAATGATTTATTAGATTGATTTAAAAAATAATATCCAGAGTATGTTTACTTATTTAGCCTGATTTCCTATAATTTACTCATCTACAACACTAAACAATAATTGGTAATCATATGGTGAAGCTGAACCGTCAAGGATTAAGTTTTGTTTAAAACTGTTTGAGTTGCCAGTAAGTCACAAATGAGTTAAATAATCACACCCTAAGGTTGATAAGAATAGTCTGTTGTCCAATCATTCTGAATCAAACAGAATCTGTTTTGTCTTTTTAAAAAAAGTTTTACCCACTAGAGCATTATTTCATTCCTATAGAAAATGCCTCGGCTGGGCGCGGTGGCTCACGCCTGTAATCCCAGCACTTTGGGAGGCCGAGGTGGGCGGATCACGAGGTCAGGAGATCGAGACCATCCTGGCTAACACGGTGAAACCCCATCTCTACTAAAAATACAGAAAATTAGCCGGGCGAGGTGGCGGGCGCCTGTAGTCCCAGCTACTCAAAAGGCTGAGGCAGGAGAATGGCGGGAACCCGGGAGGCGGAGCCTGCAGTGAGCCGAGATCGCGCCACTGCACTCCAACCTGGGCGACAGCGAGACTCCGTCTCAAAAAAAAAAAAAAAAAAAAAAAAAGAAAATGCCTCAACCTGTAAATGATTAGTGATTTAACTTACTAAAAAATATTTTTAAATATAGTTTGCATGGGAAGATGTCACTGGTAAATTACAAAAGAATATATGGAACTTAGAACACTGATAGAAGTGTTTAGGAAAGAGGCAAATGGTACATATGTAAAAATAGAATTGTTTCCTGAAAAGTTAAGGCGTTTTCACTTTATAAAACCTTGCCGTAAGCATCATTAGTTATTTGAGATCGGCAGGGATAAGAGCACAAATATGAAGAATGATTTGATTTTCACATCATTTTAATGACAAGATAAATTCCACCAACTTGGCTTTCTATATAAAAAGACACTTTAAAATGAAACATATTTGCAAGCAAACAAACACACACAGAGGGAATTATTTGTTTTGAATTGCTGACTTAGTGTAAGTAACTTGATCAACTAACGGAACCAAACTAATTCTATAAACCTTAGAGTATTTTTTATAAACCAGTGGTTAGGGAATATTGGGATTTAAAAGAGGATCTTATGCATTTTTATGTTCCTAATGCCTTCAATCATTTTAAGTCCTTGAATAAATTTCACTGAATAATATTTGTTTTACGTCTGTAATGGCCCATTTGTTTATAGAGTTAGGTGTCTTTTAAAATGGCAGGTTAGGTTTAAGTAAGGACAAAGAAATGTTTTAATAATTTCAGGATTGTTTCTTATTACATCATATTTTTATGCATTTGTGTTAAATTAATAAAATCCATTATCATACATCTTAATGGTATGGAAAAATTACCAAATCTACATCTGGTGATCCTAGTCAAACGTCCCCATATAAAATGAATAAAGAAGGGAGAAAGAGCAATGGTACAGTCTAAAACGTTGATGAACATGACAGGTTACAAGGTATAGACACAAAAGGCTTTGGGTTTATCTGGAAAACCTTGATGTTCCATTATCATATGGCTCTGTAGTTAACAGTGGGCAAAGCAAGTTACCTCGACCAAGTCATCAGGACTGGCTATTTTTCCAACATCACTTTGAGGCCAAGTTCTGTTCCATTTTACATTTGCTTTTTGAATTCCTTTTTTTCTGAAGAACACACCAGGAAGCTCAAGTTCTTTGTGCCTGTGGATTACCTGGGGCAGCACATAAATGCACGATGGGGTTGATTCTCTTGTTCTTTGGGAGCCATCTCCCAGGTTTGGGAGCACCTCATTTCAAGCAAGAGAGTGCAAGCCTCAATAGCAGTGGCTCTTAAATATGGTGTCACAAGGGGTTTGTAACCCATAATAGAGTACCAAAATTTTGGAATACTTTTTTGAGTATGAATTAGATTGGCTTCAAAGTTACCCTTAAAGTAACGTCACTCCAATCTGCTGCCTTAAGATACTCTGCTTGAGTAGGAGAGAATGGGGCAGAGTATTCACTGGAAATTGTTTACTAATGTTTGGCAAAAGCCTGGAAGTGTCTATCACCTCAATATTTGTGTACCCCCAAAATTGGTATGTTGAAACCTAATCCCCAATGTGATCGTATTAAGAGATGGAGCCTTTGGGAGGTGATTAAGTTGTGAAGTCTTCATGAATGGAATTAGTGCTTTCGTAAAAGGGGCCCAAGGGAGCTTGTTCACTGCCCCTTCCACCAGATGAGGATGCAGTAAGGTGCATCAATGAAACAGAAAGTGAGCCCTCCTCAGACACTGAATCTGCTAGCATCTTGATCTTGAACTTCCCAGTCTCCAGAACTTTGAGCAGTAAATTCTGTTGTTTATAAACAACACAGTCCAAGCAGTCTGGGCAGACTAAGACAGTCTTACACGTATGAACACATTCCAACTCCTGTGTGTTGCAATGGAAAAGAGACAAAAGAGTTGCTTTATGCAGGCAATGATTTACTTCAAAATGCAAGGACAAATAAGCTCTGCGTAATTTCTGCTTTGGTGAGAACCCATTAATCAAGGGCCAGAATGGTCTTACGGCATTGGCCAAAATGCCTTTGCCAAAGAAACCATACTATTGTGGGCCTGACCTGCCCATGTCATCCTATTATTTTACTCTGGAAATGCAAATATGTGGCAACTCTCAAACTAAAGGGCCATTGTTATATAGAAGGTATGTGGCTGCTTTTAAAAAAGAAGTGGCTATACGGTTTCCTTGAACGTTCCCTTCCCAGAAGTGTGGCAGTGCTATCAAAGGTGAATTTAAGAAAGAAAAGAAGGACTATTCTTTTTGAACATCTTCTTTTTAATTAGAGTGTCCACCTATGGCCACACCAGGGTTTGTGGTGAATACTTAATTCCTTGGTAAATTCAGCAGTTGGGAACTGAAGGTGTACTATATACAATATTTTGATCATGGTTTTGCCTTTGAGTTGAAAAATGAATTTGAAAAAAACTGACTGTGAAATGGCCTGAATTTAATTCCTCGGATTGCTTTAGAAAAACATTTAAAGAAAGGATTCCAGTTTACTGGTGCATGGAAGTGAGTTTGTGTCAATTTTTCTGATGGTTTTGATTGAACTAATTATTTAGTCTGTAATTGACTAACCCTCTAAATCAATCAAAGCCAGGCAGTAATAGTGAACTAAATTTAAATCCTTAAACAAACTGTGGATGTGAAACAATCTTTAAGTGCACTTTATTTTTTAAGGTAATATGAAACAAGTTGAGAATGCAATAAAATCTAGGAAGTAAAAAGAAAAAAAAAACACAACTATTGCCGGTGTTTATGTCTTACACTGAATTTGCAAATGGAAATCTATCCTAAGAAAATGTGTCGGAATTTAGAATATCATAGACCAGGGATCAGAAAACTTTCTGTAATGATCCAGATAGTAAATGTTTTAGGTTTTGCAGGCCATATGGCTTTTGTTGCAAGTACGTAACTTTGTATAGTGTCAAAGCATCCGTAGACTATGGAAACAAATGTGCGTGGATGTGTTCTAATAAAACTTTATACATGGACACCAAAATTTAAATTTCATATGATTTTCACATGTCATGAAGTATTCTTTTGTTTAACTACTAAAAAATGTAAAAATTGTTTGAAGCTCGTCAATTGTTCAAATGGGTCAAACCAGAACAGGCAACGAGCTGAATTTGGCCCACGTGCCACAGTTTGCTGACCCTTGCCTTAGATGGATGAAGCATGGGCTGAAAGAGTAAGCTGTGAACTTTAAAACATATCAGGAATGTCAGTTATTCAATCAATCTTCATTAAAGAGTGGCTGTGAATGCAAAGTCACCTATGTATTTACTTGACAAAAAAAAGTTTACCCTGAGTTTAACAATGAGAAAACAACTAGACCCATCAAGATTGTGGATCATTCTGCAAAACTGGCCTGGACTTTTCAGAACTGTCGATGTTATAAAAGCCCAAAGAAAAATAGAGTAAAAGCACAGGGAAACTATGCAAGATTTAAAAAAAAAAAAAAAAAAAAAGACTTGGAAACTAAAAGCAGTGTGTGATCTTTGTTTGAATACTGTATTAAAACAAAAACAACTATAAGAGGACATAATTTGGGTAGTTAGAGAAACTTGAATATAAACTATCAGGTATTATTGTATTAATATTACATTTTTTTTTTTGAGACAAAATTTCACTCTTCTTGCCCAGGCTGGAGTGCAGTGGTGCAATCTCGGCTCACTGCAACCTCTGCCTCCTGGCTTCAAGCAATTCTCCTGCCTCAGCCTCCCAAGTAGCTGGGATTACAGCTACCACGCCTGGCTAATTTTTGTATTTTTAGTAGAGACGGGGTTTCACCATGTTGGCCAGGCTGATCTCGAACTCCTGACCTTAGGTGATCCACACGCCTTGGCCTCCCAAAGTGCTGGGATTACAGGCGTGAGCCACCATGACCAGCCAATGTTACATTTCTTGAGTATGAAGATGGTATTGTAGACTTGCAGAAGAATACCCATGTTCTCAGCTAACACATGCTGAAGTATTTGCAGATGAAGTATCATACTCTACAATTTAATTTCAAATGATTTAATCATACAAAAAAGTGTGTGTGTATACAGAGATGAAGTAAATATGGTGAAATATTAACAATAAATGAACCTGAGGGATGAGTACCAAGTATCTTTGTTCTACTCTCAACTTTTACATAGGTCTGAATTTTTTCAAAATGAAAATTGAAAAAAGAATATGTAGAAAAAAATATAGCGGTAAATTTAGTTGGTTCGATTTATATTTAAAATATAAGAATTATATGACACTTGAAAAGTGAGTTTTTCTTTAAAATTCTAAAAAATTTCAACTTCTTTTGGAAGCTAAAGCAAATTGACTTGTAAGACAGACCTGGATCATTTCATTGATATTTTCATCTAGTTTGTTTCTAGGAATTATAGAATGGGTGAAACCTAGTCCGGATGAACCAAACACAACAAAGTCATCAAACTCAGGTTTCCAGAAGCCCTAAATTTAGGTTGTTCTGTGTTGTATAAGATGCATATTTATTCAGTGACCAGAAATCTAACAAATATTTTTCTTTCTGTAATTAAAACCACTTTACTTTTTCTGGTAGTCAGATCCAGATGATTTTTTGTATACCGTTTTGCTCACTAGATTTTCTTAAATGTAGAGAAACTTCATCAGAAACTAAATGAGGTCATCATTTAATTGAGACAAAAGTCATAATCACTCTATTCAAGGACACAAAAGGCACTTTCAGAAGAAAAGCTGTAAACCTTTGGAGACAGATACCATGTGTTAGTTGCCTTTATATACCTAATGCCAAATATAGTGCCTCACATAGGTAGCCATTTAATAAATGTTTGCTGAATGGCTGAATAAATGAATAAATAAGCGGAGGGAGTGCCCTACTTGGAAACAGGTTAGGTTTGTATTCGATGTAAGGAGAAGATTCCAGATGACTTAGGCACTGGACTGGGCCACTGAAGGAAGTCATGGATTCTTATTTATTTATTGTTTGAAATTTACAATAATAGAATAAACATATCTTGAATATATTTCTAGAGAAAACTTCGCACTTAAATGTTCAGATTCTTTTCTACATGTATGATGATGAAGACAGTTCCTTAATGTGAAGAATTCTGTCTGTTAACATTCAGTCAGGTTGGAATGGATCTGAAAACCATGACATATGAAGGGCAGTTGAGGAAACAGTGGTTGGGAGATGATGAGTAACTGGCCTTGATTATCTTCAGGGTTGCCATGAGAAAGAGGGAGTAAAGATAATCTGGGCTGCTCCATAAGACAGAACAGGGTAGCGGGGTACTAGGCAGATTTTAGCAACCTAAGAAAGAACTTTCTAACAAAGAGATATGCCCAACAGTGGAACAGTTTGCCTTAACAGACAATGAGCCACTATCACTGGAAGTGTGTAGGCAGAGTTGGTGTGATCATTTTCTAAGGGTAATTGGGGAGGTAGTGCCTACATGGGGTGGGAGATTGAGGCTATTTTTCTTCTTCCAACCTGAAAAGGCATTGTTCAACAAACCTGAAAGTCATTCTACAAATTTAGTGTTAATACTAAGCAGATAATTAACAAATACTTTCAATACTGCACGGTCTTCCATGAGCATGTAACAAGTAGGTAGAACATCATTGTCAGTTTGTTCTTTGAATGTTTTACCAGTCGATGTAGACTTGACATTAGTTACTACCCAAAGAAAATTTAGGTTGTGTCAGTATGTAAAATAATACCATATCCCAACAGAGGTCTAGAATGCCCTTAGAAATTTCAAAGACTCTAGGATTTGTTCTTTCACTACATCCTGGGCCACTATACTTGTGTACTCTGTTATTGCAAACTTAGCTTATTTTCTCCAGCTGCCCCCTAACTAGACAATTATCTCTAATCTCTTTCCCCCATAATCCTCTTGAACACTGCAACTAGATGTCTGGCTAAAACCGCTTTTGAACAAATTACTACCTATTAAGAAGCCTAGAATAATTTATCCATTTAGAAATACATATGGAAAAGATCAGAAGGGGCATAAAAATACAAATAGTTATTAAAGTGGTAGAATTACAGATAAGCATCGTCTAAATGATCTTGGCGTGGCACTAATGATAAATAAAATCAGGTGCAAAACAGCCTGTACAAAGTGTCCTTATTACCTAGCATTTTACATACAGAAGCTCCAAGTTAACTTTTTAAAAGACCTTCCATTAAGTCCTCCCAATTTACTTTTTCTTCTATTACCCCTGCAATGAAGTTTCATGAATATTCCACTAACTTTCCACTCTCTGCAAGCCCTTTTTCTTCCTCCTTGTACCCACTGCTGCTTCTCTCATTGCGCTTCTATCACTACATTTGCTCTGTTCCTCAGCTCTGCAACAAATACTTCATGTCATTTGCGTGTTCACTTGTTCCTAATGCAGGACAGCCTTCTGAGGGCAGGGCTTTGTCTGTTTGTTCAACATTGCATCTTCTGGATCTAGAATAGTGCCTTGCAGATAAAAAGTGTTTCTGAACTATCTGTTGAATGATTGTCATTCCTGTGACTGCATGAACCCACAACATTCTTTACCTTTTAGAAATTTGATATATATTATCTATTGTGACTTTATATTGCATTGTACCTCTTTCTAGTTGTG
This sequence comes from Homo sapiens, assembly GCF_000001405.40. Lineage (NCBI taxonomy): Eukaryota > Metazoa > Chordata > Mammalia > Primates > Hominidae > Homo > Homo sapiens. The sequence continues at coordinate 32,831,406 of NC_000014.9, read as the reverse complement.
TCCATGTTTTAGTGTCAAAATAAAGGGATAGATGTCACCATGTCACCTAATTTAATCCTTTAATTCAGTAAATTTTTATTGAATACCTACTGTGTCAGGCACTTAAGTAGGTGTTACGATATAAATTTAAAACTGCATTTAACAGGAGTCAGTAAAGGCCAGATGAAATATTTCTTTGTCAATTTCTTTTACACATATAAATATACCTGAAATCTATAAATAATAGTCAAATTTTCTGTACTTTTCTACTAGCTTTCTATCAAACTCATTCAAAATAAATATTTAAAATAAATTAAGACATACAAGGTACCTGAAATCCAACATTAAATCATTAATGATAAGTGGAAATAAAAAATCTAGTATAAATGTTTATTGGTTTAGGGGAACTGACATTTAATCATTTGCTGTTCCAAGATCTTTATAGTGACCAGAAAGATTTTGAAAACTGAAGGCTTTACGTCTAGTCTCTAGTTTAGGTAATGTTAAGCCTCTTAAGCAATATGAATATGTTTGGAAGCTGCTACATGCTATACTTTTTCAGAACCAGATGCAACAATTTGGTAAAGAACATAGTAGAAGAGATCACTAATTTTCCTTTTCCCCCAATAATCTGTGTTTATTATGCCAATTTTAATTACCATGCAATCTAATGGATTTAAGGCTTATATTTTCCACATCACTAGACATCACAAACATGAAAGCATTTTATACTGTCATTATACATCAATGTTTGTACTTGGTTATACATATATACAGAAATTATTCACACATCTTAACCTTGCTATTTCCTCCTTTCAAACCAACATAATTTTACCGTGAAAGCAGCTTTTTAATAAATGGTATAAGAAATACAGCAAGGCACACTTTTTTAAAAAACTTTTTTCTCATTACCACCTCAAGAAGCATAAAAAATGAAAATGTTGTACATAATTCAATAGTAGAATGTCACCAGTTTATAATATACAACACCATATGGTTGTTTCTTGAAATGCTGCATAGATTATTTTTTAAATGAAATAAATAAAATGGCGCTTTTAATAGTTGCTTAATTTTGAAAGAAGGACCAGTGTTTCTTCTCTATGCTGCAACCAATTCAAATGTTGGCTTTTTAGGTAAAACTCTTTCAATAAACACAGTCATTATACCGTTAAAAAAAAATCCAGATTGATACATGAAATTGGTCAAGTACTGGTGGGGGGGTCATTCTAGACAGGAGAATTTAATGGACTACCAGTTGGTGAACTGCAGAACTTTAAAGAGTGGAAGGGAAGGGAGGAGGCAAAGAGAAAAGTCTAGCTGGAGAGAGAGGGTTGGTAGAGGTAGCTTGGGACAGGAATCCATGGGAGAACAAGCAGCTTTGCTGAACTTCAAAGACGATCACCTAAAGAGAACCAGCGCACACATTCAGATCACAAGGCTTGTGTGGAGAAAACACATTTGGAAGGAAGATTCATCTTGGGAGAAGTCAATGTAATAAACGGCAGTGACAAACGTGATGGAACCAGAGGCCAGCCCAGGGCGGGAGGATGAGGCCACCCCTGAGTTGCAGCCAGGCGTATCTACAAGAAACAAAAAAGTGACAAGAAAAGGTTTCAGAAATGTATTTTTCATTAGCAAAACCAAGCCCTTTGAGGAACCATTGAAGGCTGCAATTGTGGGACTACTTGCTAATGTTCTGAAATATAAAGATACATAAAATATAAATAATTTTAATAGCCCAAGCTTCACATTACTGACAAAAAAAGTCTCAGCGTAGATGTGAAAAATACATTGATTTTTTTTTTTTTTTAAAAAGACGTGGTTTCAAAGAAAACAAGAAAAATCATCAAGTTTGACCTTTTCTCTGGATGTCATCCACTCTTTTGCCTGTGCACTCAGTTTGGAACATCAAAATAGCTTCAAACCAATATGAAAATGTGAGGCCACTGATGCCAAGTGATGCGGCAAAATATTTACAATGTACAATGATTCCACAGACTGGGAGCTGATAGGCTCTCAGGCTTAACCCTTCCTGCAGTGATTTTATGCATGATATCGAACAATTCCACTATTGTATAGTGGTGAAATATTCACAACATTGTGATTATCCTAAGTGTTTCAGCCTATAAAAAGATACAACTGGGGCTTCTAGCTCAAATAGTAATGCATTTCATTTAAGGTACATACAGCATTGTGGAAACGAGATGGATTCAATTATATTTGTACATCTCATGGCTATGATATAAATTTCTTCCAAACTTGATCCATTCTGCCTGTTTCTAAATGGCTAAAAGCAACTGGTCAAATGTGAGGAACACCTAAATACCAAGTTTAGGCAATGCAGGATGCAACTATTGTAAGTCCCCCTGACCAGCTCTCAAAGAAAGCAGGCTTTTGCTTGTCTGGGCTTAAACTGAGTTCTGATTTCTCATATCAGGTTGTTTTACTGTCCTTCAAGAACGAATATGCTCTTTGTCTTGCTCTCTGTTTTTCTACAATCTTTCAACTTAAGAGCCAGAAAAACCTTAACAAAAAGTGGTTTGGCTGGAGCCATGGGGAGTTGGAGAAAGAAGAAAAATTAGATAAAGAACTGGGGGAGACAGACAGAAACAGATGGGATGAAATTTGGTATAGTAAAATAATGCAGTAACACAAGAAAGCCCAGTGCATTGTTCAAATGCTGAGGACATGACTCATTTGAAATCTGGCCACAGAATAGGGATTCCCTAGGTGAGGCAAATCTGGTCTTACTAAATGCTGGCATTTAAATTCTCTCTAGGTAATCAATTCTTTCAACTTGGCCCACTTGGAAATGGGCAGGCCAATTGGCTGAGGCACAGATCTGGGGTGTGAGAGTGTGTGTGTGTGTGTGTGTGTGTGTGTGTGTGTGTGTGTGTGAGAGAGAGAGAGAGAGAGAGAGATAGATGATAGGTGATGCCCAGTAACATCCTTGTCATTTAGCATAGCAGGGCTAGTTATTCAGAAGTGCCAGATAATTTAAAGACACTTCACATCCAGCAAAACATTGGTTTATTAAAGTGATTTTAAAGGTAAGTTTGATAAGATTATACCTGTATTGTCTAGTGCAAAATTCATACACAATCACCAAAGGTAGTTTCTTAAACCTAGTTGACCAGCTTTGGAAAATATTAAGCACCTAATGTCAATCCAATTAACAGAATGGGAATTGTGCTGTGTGCATGAGAAATGTTTGCTCTTACAGCTTTCTCAGTTTGTAAAATCTGAGCAGCAGCATTTAAAACTCTTTATGTGCGTACTTGAGCATGCACAAATACAAGTAATTGCCTAAAATCTAAAATCTACTGGCCACCAACTATCACATTTACAGACCAATAAAGTAGAAAAGGCAATAAAGCTAAAAAGTTCTAAAGGAAATATATGCACTGTAAGTAAATACAGCTCCTCAACCCACCCCCCAAAACACCACACTCATACACATACACATAGTAAAACAAAACCCCAAATCACTAGAGCAGACCAAAAGGAAAAGAAAAAGCACACACTGGCCGCATATGATGAGTTAAATTTTTATACCACGGGATTTATCCAGCCTGAAGTTTAGGGTTAAACCATTCATCAAAGATCAGAGGCTTATGATGAGGATTATGAAGAAATAACTGTCAGAATACAGCAAAAAGATTAGCGCAAAGTACATCTCTGAGGCAGGTCCTAGGAGGCACTCCAGACATACATTATGTGCTTCCTCCAAATTAGGCAGAAAGATCTGGATCTATCCAGTTACCTTTCCTTTGATGTGATTTGCTGTAACTGACCCCTCTATTTTTATAGAAACATGACACAAAAATGAAAATAGTGAAAAGCACAGCAGTATGCCTGGAAATCAGTGCAAATGCATACTGTTAGATCATGTTAAAACTTCTCAAGCAGTTTCAGTGGGTTTTTAATTAGAACACAGTAAATAAAAAACATTTGAAAATCTGGAAAACATTTTTGTTACTGTTGCAGACTCTATCTGCTATTCTAAGTTATATCTCTTCTGGGTGGCATTATAATCATTTCATCATCTGAAAACTTAGTTCTGGAAAAAAAAAAAAACCAAGCAAATGGAATTTGGTGAATTTTACTGTCCTGATAAAAAGAGCATCACCACTGATGGTTTTCAAATGTCTTTAAAAAGCACAGCTTTTTCTTTTTCTTTTTCTGAACTTGTAGTAAGAACAATGACAACAATTAAGCTCTTGTAGACATGAAACCTCATATTTATCAAACAATTTTTACTATGTATTCTTGACATTAAATACTGAAGGCATGTCAACATTTTGAGATTAAATAATTTGTCCTGGTTGATAGTATTTTAACAATATGTGACTATTTATACCCAGTTATCCAATGCTAACGTCTGGTAAAAATTTCAGGCATCCAGATGTTTTGTCCACATGATACTGAAAAAAATCCTGAATAGGACCAGTAAATATGGCTATTTAAATGGCTCTAGGCCTATAACAAGTCACTTGGGGGCGATGTGAGTTCTGCAGAAGTAAAATCTGGCTGTTTCTCCCTTTGCCCGAGATAAGGCCAGGCATCACCGGGGCTTAACAAAAAATACTGCTGACTGGCAGACGGGCTGGCTGCTAGTTTGACATTGTCCCTGCTTGTAAAATGTGAGGGTTACACAGATCCACCAGCACATTCACTTCCTCCAAGTCTAAAGATGGAGCTGCTCATCATTTACATTTCATTTCAATTCTACGTCTATGTAAGAGAGAGAAGAAATTCCCAGAGGATCAAAAAAGGGAGAGTGCTTCGCAAAGGCTTCTCCAGTGCCAGAGCTTCTGGAGCTCCAGATCTCAGCATGACTGGTGACTTGAGGGTCACAGTCACATGATGTCATGCTCAGAGTGGTGTTGCTTTCAAGCCTTTATCCCCTTTCAGAAAACAAAATCAGCCAGGCTCTACCAGCCCTTCTGCGGAGGTTGGCAGAGCCAGCAGTACAATCGGTTCTAATAGGACTTGTTTTGAAGCAGCTTATGGAATTGCAGTTACTCTCCCTTAATGGTCAGTTTTACTGCATACTGATGGAGAATGTGATTATAGGGTGGACATGTTTCACAGAAAATACATTTCTCTCTCTCCTACTTTTGTTCTCACTTGCAGCCAATTGTAAATAGAGTCTGAAACACAGAAAATTAGTTGAGCTATATTAGTAAGTGGGATGCCTTTCTTCAATTTTGCATACTGAGTTTATTTTTAGGGTATATATGGTATAGATGCCCCCCCTTAGTCCCCATTTCTAGCAGCTCTACACAGAATCACACATTTTAATAAGCTTAGGGCACAGGTGTTGCAGGAAAAAAAAATAATGATGTTTGCCATTCATCTTTCAAATTAAATAATGTGTTTTTAAATAGTAACTTTTTTCATAATACATTATGGGAACAACATTTATCTGTCACATTTTAAAAGATGTATTTGTAATAAATGTAAATTACTTTTAGAAAATCAGTAATTAGGCTCATCAAAAAATAAACAATCTGCCACAAAAAAGATAATCTTTAGCATAGTTAAGTATAATAACTGTTATTTGAATAAGTTAACAAATTAGGGTAGATTGCTTCTGTAATTCATTTCCTATAGCACGAGTTTAGGTGACGGCATTAAGCTTCTGGAGTGGGGGGTGGAGGTGGCATTAGGCATCTCATACTTGGGTGAAATATGACTCTCACATTTGAAAGCTCAAATTTTCTTTAAACTTGATTGAGAAAGCATATTCATCACTGGGGCTTAGAAATGGGAAATAACAGAATCTTTGTGTCACTTTTAGAGACATATCATCATCTTGGAATTATCGATCAATAGCTGTCTTATTAAATGTGAAGAGTGGAATGACTTTCTTAAAAAATTTGATGGAAATCAGCCTGTCACCTTCAGGCAAAATTCAAAAATTCTGTTTTTATCAAAACGCCATTAACTTGTCATGTATTCTCTCTGCATTTGCTTTCTGAGCCTGTTCTCAATCTGTATGTGGATAAATAAGAGCCTCTTCTTTAACATCAACTTTCCCCTCCTGTTTGAATCCTTAGACATGGCCGTGATTAGGAGTTGTGACAGCACAGTCTTCCACTGGGGAAGCAAATGTGACGATAGTTACATTAGACAGAAGCATAAAAGGAAGGGCCAAATCAGGAGATGTGGCCTTTAGCCTAATCATTGTTCATCTGCAGGCACTGAAGAGAACGGACAGCTCTCTGTGCAGGAAACTGAAGTGGAGAGCATTGTTACTATGCATGCATTTTGATCATGGAGTATAATTGCGATTTGGATAAGCTTTTTATTCTCCCTCAATGGAAGAATTTGAGGCCTTAAATTGTTCAACTACTTCCTCAAATTTTGTATTCTTGCCAGAATTATGTAATAAAGATAATGTCACTAAGAATGTCAATTTTCCCTGTTTTTTTTTTCTTTTGCTTCACAGTTACTTTCATTGTTGAGAGCATTTCTTCTACCTAAATGTCTTATTCAGATAACTGTCTGCCGTAACTGGTCATTCTGACTAGCCTTTTCTCCTGCCATGGTTTTGCTGACCTGAACTCAATATTTTAAATACATATACGGCATGAGGACTATACGTACCTTTCAGTGAGATGATTTTCATGCTTGGGGAGGGGGTACATTCTACCTATGCATATTTCTATGTCGTTTTTCATGAAGGTTTAGAAGATTTTCTTCACAGGTTAAAGTTTTGGGGCTGGGATGCAATGCGGCCTTGTCTGTTGGCTGATTTGCCTTCAAGGAGAGGTCTTGAACTTTAGATTTGGCTGAAGCAGCATTATGTTCTTCTGGCATTCCAGATTCACCTGGTTTTCCGGAACTTTCCTTTTCACTGTCAAGCTTTGAAGGAGTAAACTCTAAGTTTTCTGCACAGCCACTGGAAGTTTGGGGCAAACCATTCACTTCCTTTCCAACCTCAGCTCTTTCCTGAGAGGAAGGACTTGAAAGAGCCACTGTATCTGCATCATCAGCTGAAAGAGAACTATCACTGAACTCAGAAGAACATGCTGTTGCTTGTAGTGGCATTGCAGCTTCGCTGGGAACTGCAGATTCATTTGGAGGAGCACTAGAGAAACAAGGCTCCTCTCCATCAGAGTCACCCTCAACACAGGCCTCAAAAAAGCATTCAATATCTTCCTTGTCATCTAAGCCCGAGTCAGTGGTGTCTAGTGGCAATGGAGTGCTGCTTTTCTCTTCTATGTAATTGGTGACCTCCCCACAATCACTGTCATGAGATGAGAGAGATAAGTACGAATAAAAGTCCCCTTTTCTCAGCTGGATGGGCCGGTGAGAATGCTCCAACACTTTCTCCTTGATTTGAGTTAATGAAGTAGGAGCAGCCACCTCGTTTTCAGGTTGAGATTTACTTTTTAGGGCTGTCGAAGCCATGTCAATGATTTCCTTAACAAAGTTGTGTACTGAACAATCTTCGGCATCTTTTTGATGGAAAACATCTGGCTCACAGTTGCAACAGGAAATGTTGCTGATAGAAGCATTTTCCTCTGTTCCGTTTTGTTCAAGTGCTAGGCAACAACCAGCAGATTTTCCAGCCATACTCGGTGCATCATCAGATGATTTCAGTGCATCAGAGTCTTGTCTGTTGTTAAACCTGGTTTCTAAAGCCAGTTCTGAGAAAGACTTCTCAGTGGGAGTAGAGGCAGTGCTTTGATTTTCAAAATGGTGGTGATTTGGACATTTCTTTGGAAGATGTCTAACATCTTGGGAAACAAATTCCTTGCCAGCAGTATTTGAATCATCTAAACTATCCATAAGTGCTTTACACTTACAATGCTCACTCTCTGAAATCTCTTTCCCATGTGAACCAAGATTTTCTGATACCTTTGAAGTCACATTCGGTTTTCCCTTTTGCCTTTCTGGAATACCTTCAATATTGCCATTTTCCATGTCAGCCACATATGGATCTTTATTAACTTTGAAAATAGTTTTCTTATTTTCACGCTTTGTCCCTAACTCATGGGTATGAGATGAATTCTTACCATTTCCATTATTTTCAGAGACACGTTTTACAGAGCCATTTAGAAGGGTCTCAATATTCAGAGTATCAGAGGGATTGGTCATCTCACTGCTACTTATATCTTTACTGCCCTTCATCTCATCACTGACATTGCACCTTTTCTTATCTCTTGTCAAAGACAATTTTGGCCTAATCCAGGTCTGTAATTCATTCTTTATGTAGTCTAGCCCTGACATCAAGGTGCAGTCTTCATAAATTTCATCATCTGTTGCAATACTGGAGTCGTCATCCTCATCTTTGATGCACAGCTCTTCTTCAGTCAAGGTAAGGGTAGAGCTGGAGAGCAGGTCGCTGTCATCTTCATCATCAGTGCAAGCAGAGGTGCAAGAGACATTAACAATCATGCTGACATTGACATCGCTTTCATCAGCCACTGAACGAGTCAGACGCTTCCTGAACGATGCATTCGATTCCGGGATCTTGTTCTTGTGTAACACAATATCCTCTGAGCAAAGAGAGAGCTCGTCACTGCTGCTAAGTTCTGTTAGAGATGCCGCTGAGTCTTCATTGATAGAAGATGCTATGTCCAATGACATCTGGCCAGTAAAGGACATCTTTTGGGAACTGCTTTGAAGAGTGATATCAGAAACACTTCGTTTTATCTTTTGCTCTGAGGGGCTCTGGATATTCTCCAAACGATTCAGGAGATCTAATGTTCTTTTACTTAGTTCACCAACTGAGCCACTGCTCACGCTTATATCCCCAGAGCTGTGACAGCTAAAGAGATCTTCATTGCTTTTATAGGAAGTCAACCAACTTTCTAAAGAAGTGCTTCGCTGGAGGCTGTCACTGCCATTTTTAAAGATGCCCAATCCAAATAAATCACCCCCTGGAGAAAGGGACTCAATAGATGAACTATGAGATAAAAGGGAGAGCTGTTTGGCATTCTGCATGCCAGTGAATGTCTTTTCTATATTGCCACTTTTATATGAAATGCGATCCATTTCATGAGATGCACTTGCCAAAATCCTTTCATGGGGAGGTACATCTGGTTGTAACTCTGTAGTCTGATGTTTAGATTTGCATGATTTTTTATCAAAATAAAAACCACGAAGCAGGGGATCCTCCACATGCGCTTTTTCGCTTTGTGACTGTTTCATTATCATTGGTAATTTGAGTTTTGAGCCTTGGAGGTATGAGTAATCATAAAATGTAAACACATCATGTTTTCCTTGTAATTCTTCTCCCAAACAGTCAGGGGTATGTTTGGTAATACTGTTTAAATCTCCAACTTTTCCATTTACACAACCCACTGGTGAAATGGACGACTGAGAGCTATTTGGAAGCTTAATGCTTTCCCCCTCATCTGTAAATTTTTGCTTTAACACGTTAACTGCATCTCCCATTTGTGGGTCCAGATGTTCAGTTTCAAGGTTACTTGGGGACCCATCCACTGCATTGAGCAAGCACATTTCAGAGTTGGTAGTGGTTTCTGTGTCTCCTTCACTGACAATTCCACTCTCACTGCCTGAATTCTGGCTCATGTCTCCTCCATGACATGCGCAGGGCTTTACCAAATTGGAACCACCTAGAAGATCTGGCAAAGATTTGGTAGATGAAAATGAAGAGTCTTTACTGAGACTCTTAGTTAAAACATTAGGCTGTGTCATGCCAGTGACCTTTGGATTGTTTTTCAGAAATGGCATGTGGTTGTCCTCATAGAGTTCAACATTGTGGAGGCTGTACACCTGGTAAATGTGTGGACTAGAGGGGGCAGTAATATTTGAGGCATACTGAGATCCCCCATGGTTATCAGCCTCCTCGTCATAACCAGGGTCCTCATTACTTGTCTCTCCAAGCTTCAAGGAAGGGATAACAGGTTGGAGTTCTTGATCAAGGTCATTTGATTCCTCATTCAAACTAATTAACTTGTTACTTATGTCCATTTCATCCCATTCCAGGGCATCCTCACTCATCCCATTTAGGTCCATCAAGCCAGGATCAATCACATTCAAAGTCTCCTGTGTGAGAGAAAGAAAAAGAAAAGGAGAAGAATTAGGGAACACAAGCATGAAAATTTTATCCATTGAAAATCTCTCAGAAGACTCAGGAAAGAAAACTGCCCCAAGCATGGACTTGAAAGACGGCCTAATTATCAACTCTATTCCTCTCTGAAATAACACCCAGAAATTACTGAAAGAGGCTTTTCTATCAATAGTAATTTGTTACTGAAGGCAATAACATAGACTAAAATGTAAGATTATTATTGTCAAATTGTAATTTATGGAATTAGCCATTTCCTATTGATTCATCTACATTTTGAATCTTGGATAGAGTGAAAACTATCAGGTGAATGAAGGTAAAAATAGTACAGCCTATGACATCTCCTAAGGTGCATTCACACTGATACTATTTCAGTTCTGGAGTCCATAGTAGAATACTATCTGCAGCCACACATGGCAAACTCCTTCTTGCCTCTATTCCTGGGTTCTCCATTTTAAGCAGCTTTTGCCTGGGGACTTAAAATAGAGTTGTAGCCACCATGTAGAGCACTTCATGGGCCAGAGGCACATGACTGTGTACCCCCCCTTCCTCTGTGTTCCTATTCAGGGATCTGTCTTTTCAGACTGTGGCCCTGCTCCCAATCAGACATAAGACTAGCAACACTTGACTATTCTCCTTAGCTGTATCTTCCTAGACCCTGAATGCTCCAGGGCAATTTCTTAGTCAAAGTTCTCTCAGCCCCTTTCTTTCCAGTCTCTATCTGTGACAGAGACTTCACTTTGGTCCTTGTTAACTTGGCTCACTACTTACTGTTAGTCCTTCCCCCATTTCTGATAGACAGGAACCTCTCACTCCAGCCCACACCAGCCCCAGAATAATTATTTGAAGACTTTCCTGACCACCCCAGGATGAAGTAGCCCAGATTCCCTTATGCTGCTCTCTGCCTGCCCACTTGGGACCCTTGATGTTTCCTTGGACTTCTTGGCTCTGCCTCTGTTTAGATAGAGCTTGACATATTTTGGGACACAGTAGCTGGCTAGGCTCCTGGACTCTGTTCAAATTCCTTCACTGTCCTTACTTGCTCTCCAGCTGTCTGAATTCATGCTAGAGCCAAGAAAGATTATATATATATATACATAGTGCAGAACTTGATGGGCTCACCTACAGACAGAAACACAAACAGAACTTCTAAGTTCAGCTTATGCTTATGCAGCGTAGCCAAGCAGATGAGTATGGCACTAGAACTTGCAGACTGGTTGAAGGGCTGACTTTGCTGCTTACCATATGCATGACCTTGGACAAGCTGCTTAATAACCTTTCTGAGCAACAGTCTCATTGCCTGTAAAATGGGGATAGCACTGTCAATTTTTCAAGATCATTCTGAGTATTAAACAAGCTAGTGCTTGCGAAGTGCTGAGAAGGCAGACAGTATTAGGTGGCCATACATATATATATATATGTATTTCTTTTTTTGACACAGTCTTGCTCTGTCGCTCAGGCTGGAGTGCAGTAGTGTAATCACAGCTCACTGCAGTCTCAACCTCCCAGGCTCAAACAATCCTTCCGCCTTAGCCTCCCAAGTATCTGGGACTACAGGTGCGTGCCACCGTACCTGGCTAATTTTTATTTTTTGTAGAGACAGGGTGTCACTATGTTGCCCAGGCTGGTCTTGAACTCCTGGATTCAAGTGATCCTCCCACTTTGGCCTCCCAAAGTGCTGGGATTACAGGTGTGAACCACCACATCCAGCCAGTAGCTATAATTCTTAATACATGCAGAATCGCTCTAGTGTGGTCTTGAGTCAATTCATAAAGGGTTTCCTCTGCCTGCTTCATTCTCTTCTTCACATCATACCTTCCAATTTGCTATTAAAACCACAAGGGATTCACGACTTGGCAGAAAGACAGAGGTATCACACAGCATAACAGGCTAGCATATTTGTATTAATGTCAGAATTATTTTAACTGTCTGGTTGAAAAACAGCCCATGATGCTTGTATTCCTCAGTAGTGGGGAAAAAGCGTCACCTGCAGCATGTTAGCAAACTTTCCTAAGAAGCCCTCAATCCTTCCTGAAACTAATAGTTAAAGGGTACCACACAAACACATTAAGTATAAAATACCCATTAGCACTTTATTATACTGGGTATGTAAGAGATTATCTGTATAGCCTACTTAAGTTTAAGAGTCCAGTTACAAGCTAAACATTAATTAAGGGAAATTTTTAAGTTTTCTAAGAGAAATCTTTCCCACTGCCAATGTTACAGCAGTTAATCTAGTACCCAGCAATCATCACAGTGGCTTAGGTACGGAGTACATTCACTGTGATGAATTTTTATTAGAATTTCTGTTTATTCTTTGCTTGCTGATAAAGGAAGTACTAATGACCAGTTAGTACGGCTAATGAATGTTAAAATCTTCAGCTGTAGGAACAATCAATCAGTCTAATCAAATAGTATATTAATTTCAAATACTATCTTGGCTGACACTGTACTCTGAGAGTGCTAATAAATAATTGAATTAGTCTTTCAAAGGAGCTCTTTTTGTAACTCTCTGGTTGACTTTAACATTTAGCAGCACAGATTTTCCACAAGGATCCCAAACCTAGGGGCTCACATGGAGAAGCGGGAATTGTGCCATCTGGATGGGCTGGGAGCTAAGCCCAAGTGGCACCTGCAAGTCAGACTCATCTTCCATGACACAGTCGTTTTCTGACCAAATGCTGCCTTTACGGCTTTACGAATTCAAGCCTAAGAAACTATAAAATTTATAGCAGCACCTAAAGGAAAAAATTCCTTTGCTCAGTAAAATATAGTTGGCCCTCCATATCCATGGGTTCCAAATTCATGAATTCAACCAACTGCAGATCAAATATATTTGTAAAAAAAAATTTCACGGTTACAAAAAAAAAAAACCCAAGTTTTCCCTGTGTCAAGTGATGTGTAGGCATTGTATGAACTACTGTAACTAATCTAGAGATGATTTAAAGTAAAGAGAGAGGATGACTGTAGGTTATATGCAAATAATAAACCATTTTATATCAGAGACTTGGGCATCTGAGGATTTTGGTATCTGTGTGTGTGTGTGGTGGGGAAGGAACACTGACAAACAGCTGTAGTTGGAATGGAAAATTTCCATAGGAAAAGATTAAACTTTTGGATGTAATACTGTTCTTTTATTAACTCTCTGCTCTTATAAACCTCTTATATTTATTGTGATTTCTGAAAATTTCTTGTATGGCAATTCCAGGAAATATCTGACAGGATTCATTAGAAAATCATTCACTTTAGACTTTAAATTTTTTCATATTAAAGAAGTGCTACTCACTCTGCCCTCGCTCACTCCCTTCCTGTTGTGGATTAAATTCTGTCAATATTTTCAATAAAATCTCCATTTCCTCAGGATTTAACTTCAACCATAAAATATACCCCTGGGGCAAGAAAGTGGGAAAAGTTTCCAAGAAAGATGTTAGAGTATTTATATAACTAAAAAAGTTCTCTTTGGGAAAAAAAAGATTTGCATATACAAAGATGTAACTGATAGGAAAATTATTTGGTTGAATGCTCTCTTTGATGATAGCCCAACACAACCAATAATGCTCAAGCTAATCAAACGTTTGTTTTTGTTGTTGTTGTTTTCCCAGAGGAGCTATTTGGTACTTTTTAAAAAAGGCACAATGTTCCTGTCTTTGATATAGTGATAAATCTAAATGAATTTAGACAAAATCTAAGAGTATTTGAATGAGACCAAATGGATAGGGAGTAATAAATGAGGTTCCAAAAGACAGCCTGCAATTCCAGAAATAATTCTGAATTAATTCATGCAAGGGTCTTCTATTCATAGACTTGCTGCATGGGTACAGAATTTTGGCCCAAACCAAGGCATTATATAAATAATTACACACACACACACACACACACACACACACAAACACAGACACACACACACACACACACACACACACACACAGCTATACAGATCTGCTCAAGAAACAAATGGAATTAAATAATGCTAGTTTATTTTATTATTTTTACACTTGGAAGCATTTTATTTATATTAGCACAACATATACAGAGAAAGCAATAAAAGTGGTGGAGAAATGATTATGATGATGACAAAAAAAGAAGAACCAAGATTCCAACCGTGGCAGGTAATACCCATCTCAATTAATACCCTCTGCATGTGTATGGCTTTAATTGAGTTAGGTCTCCCATGATTGCATTTCCAGGATTTTCTTACAATTTTAGCTTAAATGGTGGGTGTGTATAAGAGATGAGAAATACTTTATTACCTAAAGAGTAAAGATAAAGGAACTCGACAGTCTACAAAACAATAACCTAATAGAGAATTGATGTAGCCGCCTCTAGATACCTTTAATTTCCTTTCAAAAGTTGCATCTTTTGAAAGATTTTTTTCTAAAAAATCTCAAAAAGACTAGGATGAACTGAATGTTACAGTCAAACTTCTGGTACTCAGAATGTGCAGAACCTTTAAGAAGGTTTTGTAATATGTGCTCCCCCTGTTTATTCTAGATCCAGGAGTTTATTGGGCAGTACCACATGCAAAAACCAGGCAGGAGAGATTTATCTGGAGAAAAGTAGAACACAACAATAACATATAAATAAATAAAAGTGACAAAAACATAAGCAGCAATAACTGTAATTGAATAAAGGTGTACATATTTACCCCAGGGTGAAAAGCAGAACACACAGGTTTGAGGGGGTGATGGAGAGGTGGGAGAAAATAACATATACCTCAGTATAGATGAACCAATTTAAACTAGGGGAAATGCCAACATTCTATACTCTGCTTTTCTTGGCACCCTGTAACCCTGAACCTAAACCAAAGTGTCTGAGCATTAGTTACATAATTATTTTCCTAAATTAGACTTAGGTAGAAATTTTATAAAAACAAAAACAAAAGCAGGACAGGTACAGTGGCTCGTGCTTGTAATTCCAGCACTTTGAGAGGCTGAGGCAGGAGGATCGCTTGAACCCAGGAGTTTGAGACCAGCCTGGGAAACATAGTGAGACACTGTCTCAATGTAAAAATTTTTTAAAATTAGCCAGGCATGGTGGCATGTGCCTGTTGTCCTAGCTACTCTGGAGGCTGAGGTGGAAGGATTGCTTGAGGCCACGAGTTCAACACTGCAGTGAGCCATGATCATGCCACTGCACACCAGCTTGACAATACAGCAATACCCTGTCTCTAAACAAACAAACAAACAAACCATATAAGAGCAATGACAAACAGCTGCTTCCATCTCTGAAAATGGAAAGATAACTTTTAAGAGAACTCTGAGTTTGTAGTACTCTGCCTCTTATTGAGCAGAGAATGGATTCAGAGTCAGCAAGAAAAAACATAGAATAAAATAGAAATTAGGATAAAAAGAATAATGTTCAATGTTTATCAGCCATTTTGCAACTGGAGGAGGTACTCATACAGGTTTGGGTTTGAATCCTGGATCAGCCCTCCCATATGTTAGCTGTGTGATCCTGGACAAGTTATTTAACTTCTATATGCCTCAGTTCCATCATTTGTTTATCTTGGGACAATTACAGTACATTGTATCTGCCTTATAGACTGTTGGGAGCTTTAAATTACTAAAATGTACGTAAAGTCCTAGGGGAGAGCCCGGTACACAGCAGGGGTGGAATGACTGGCAGCCATCAGCATATATATTCCCTCTGGTGAAGTGAGGAGACGATAGTATGGCTGAATCCTAAATAACCGTTAACAGTGTTTAAGACTGGAGGTTGGTTGACTAATCTCTTTGGTACGACCAAAGAGTCAAAGAAAGAAACATTGATTAGGCCCCTTACTCACCTCTACTGCACTGTAAATGAGGTGATACATTTGTCTTTTCATATCCTAGCTGGACTTATCCCACAAAGATAACCAAATGAGAAAAGACACTTGCCCAGTCCTCAGCAAGGCCCATAGCTCAAGAACTTTCTATTTCCTGAAAATAACCTTTTTTTAAAAAAGGCAAGTCCATTGTCTGAAATTCTATCACAACTGACCCATTAGAGCAATCAAATCCTGCTCACTATCTATCAGATTGACAACAATGTTAAAGTAACTTGTCTCAGTTCAGAAAACGCTTTGAAAGTCTATCTCACACTAATGATCAAAAACTGTTCTAGTGAATGCTCTTTTTCAATAACAAAGCTGATCAGAAACTCAAAACAGACAAGTAAAATCCAAAGTCATCTCACAAATCTCACTAAAATCAGTACTGACACGGACACATTTCCTAGTCTTGACTACACAGATAATTCTGAAATAGTTGAAAATGAAAAATCCATTAGATGTTGTTTTAAAGTAAGTTTTATAACAGTAAAAATTGCCTTTGTTCTCAAAAGGGATCAGGGACAAAAGGGAGTCCAGTAATGGGAAGCAGGGGTTTTCTTCCCATAAATAAACTTCATGAGGACAGGTACTCTGACTGTCCTGTCTCCACTAGAGCCCCAGTACTTAAAATAGTGCCTGGCATGAAGCAGCTTCTTAAAAAGTGATTACTGATTGCCCAGGCATGGTGGCACATGACTGTAGTCCCAGCTACTCGTAAGGCTGAGGCAGGAGGACTGCTTGAGCCCAGGAGTTCAAGGCTGTAGTGAGCTATGATTGTACCACTGCATTCCAGCCTGGATGACACAGTGAGACCCTGTCCCCAAAAAATAAAAAAGAAAGAAAGGAAAAATTTACTGAGTGATCTGAAGGAAAAAAGTAAAAAGACTTGCCTGTTGTCTCAAGAACTGTTGAAGGGATCTGGAGAAAGGTTCTGAGGGTAAACTGTGCTGTGGCAAAATCACGTGGAAAATCCCTGACTTTCAACTGGTGCAAACTCTCAGTTGTAAAAGCTAATAGCCTCAAAAACATGTTTCATGAAAGAAGCCAGACATAATAAAGTCATATATTGTATGATTCCATTTATATAAAGTATCCAGAATAGGTAAATCTGCAGAGATGAATGAGACTGGTACTTTCCAGGGCCTGCGGGCGGGGAGGAAGGAATGGGATGCAACTGCTTTACAGGCTTGGGGTTTCCTTTTGGAGTGATGATAATGTTTGGAAGAAGTGGTGGTTGCACAACATGGTGAATGCCACAGAACTGCTCACTTTAAAATGATTTTAAAACTACTAAATGCCACAGAACTGCTCACTTTAAAGTGATTAACTTTATGTGAATTAAGGGAAAGCCACTGAATAAACGAAGAGAAAATCATCTGTAACCTTAGAGAGGGCAGGTGCTAGAGGCCAGTGCATGAAGAAACAAGTACAGGATGTGCTAGAAGGTAGCCTGAAAAAGTCCAGCTTCTCTGGCAAAATTTGAGTTGAAATTAGGAGTGTGGCCCTGTCAGGTACTGTTCAACACCTTGTTTGTCCCAGCACCAGTCTTGGAAGGAGAACACAATTGGAGAAACCACAGAGGTCATAGAATGTACAGGAAACCCTTCAATTGTTCTAATACCTCTACCCTCAAAGCACAGTAGCCCATCTCAACTCTACATAACAACCGCCCCCTGCAAAAAAAAAAAAAAAATCCTATCACTTTTGAATTTGATTTTGTGTGTGAAGAATAAGTTGCAAAGACCTTGAATGTTCTATAAACAGGATGATTGTGAAGTTGTAGGAAGGAATTCCGAGAAGAAAGAGCAATACAAAAAAATATAAGGATTTCTTTTCTTCCCTTTCTTACTGTAACTTCAGGTTCACTGGAGGGGCTGCCCACATAAGTGCTATTTTGATTAAGAAGCTGTGGTATAATAGGAAATATATTTGGCCTTTGTCCCAGTTCTCTGGCACAGAGCCCCTAAAGCCCTCGGAATTTCCTAAGCGATAGAATACCTTTTGTTATTCATAATGGCCCCTTTTGATCACAACAGAGTTTATGCTAATGAGAAAATTTAGGGCAGGGTCCTGAGATAGCCTCAGGTTGGGGGTGGTCACCAGAAAGACCAAGTGATTAGAGGGCTGGAACTTTCAGCTCCACCGAAGGACCTCTGGGAAAGGGGTTGGGGGGGGGGGTAGGGTTAGAGATGAAAACTGTAACTACTCTTCTTGAACAAAGAGATTTGATGAACTTCTAGGTTGCAGAACACCTGGAGATGCTAGGTGGGTAAGGTACCTGGAGAAATGTGGAAGCTTTGCCCGCCCCCTTACCCTGCACATTTCTTTTACGTCTGGTTTTTCTTGAGTTGTATCTTTAAATAAACTGGTAAATGTGAGTAAAGTGTTTCCTTGAGCTCTTCTAGCAATTCTAGCAAGTTATGGCTAGAATAACCTAAGGAAGGGTTGTGGGAATTTACAGCCCGTGGGTCAGAAGGATGGGAAATTGCGTGATTGGCATCTGAAGTGAAGGCAGTCTTGTGGGACTGAGCCCTTTCCCGTATGGGATCTGATGCTAACTCCAGATAGACACTGTCAAAGTTGGATTAAATAGTAGAACACCCAGCTCATGTCCAGAGAGCAGACAGTAGCTTGGTGTAAAAAAACCCCACACATTTGCTGTCTGAGTGTGTGCAGAGAAACTTTTAAGTGTGTGTAGAGAAACTTTTTATAGAGAAGCAATATATTTGTGCCAATAAATCAAAGAATTAGATACTGTCATAATTTCTAAAGAATTCTCAGGTGCAATAACCTCAGTGTTGATAGTATTATAGGTAGGTGGCAACAGATGAATCCCTTGCATCAGGCTCTGTTTTTCTTAAGCAAGTTAATTCTTGTGCAAATCATTATTCATAGTTGTTAAGCATCTACTGTAGAAAAAAGTTACTTTCCCACCTAACTCTGAATGTTTCACTAGAAGTAACTTGAAAAATAATCTACTTTTCACTGGCAAATAAATTATCTTGACTGTTGCTTTACATGTCAACACACTGAAATTTTTATTACACTGAGAAGAGCCTGAATAGGAGAACTGGTTTATTTTTTGTTTCTCAGTCACTATATTTGGTGTTTCCCTGGAATTTCCCCCCAGAGTTTCAAGAAAGTACCTAAATGTAGGACTGTTTAAAATGAATTTTTTAAAAATTTAGGAAGAGTTTTTCAATTAAAAGAATTTCTCTTTCTTACCTCTTTAGTATTACATAGAACTGAAACAAATAAAAGAAAGTTCAAGAGAAAAATAACATCAATGAAGTTGTAAAAATCCCAACTGCAATGAAATGGTGGCATTTTCTTCATTCTACCACATGGTAAATCTGTTTGAATGACAGTGACAGAACCACATGCAAAGTTGCATACATTCTTTTCTCCCAATGATAATATCTGGCCCCATTTTTTTTCCTGACATTGCTCAGGGATTGACATAACATGTGAGTTTTATACCCCTGGATGTAATTTTTGCCTCACCTTTGCCTAAGGGAAAAGTATACCCTTCTCCCTCCTTTATGAAAATGATCTTACGTTAATAAAAACTTACATTTTTTAAAACCTACAATGCATATTGGTAGAAAAGAGAAGGTGAATAGTCATGTAAACAAGTGAAGTTTTCTAACATACGAATTTTCCTGTGAGATAGACATAAGGTCCCAACTTGCAAACTCAGTTTCAAGAACACAAGATTCTTGGCATGATCCCGAGGTAGTCGAAGGTACAAGGAGAGCTTTGCCAACATGTGGGTTTACCTGAAAAGCCTTATATCAGATAATAGAGTTCACTCACGTTTAGGAACCGTGCCCTTTACAGTTCTGATATAAGGCTTCTCAAGTAAAAAAGCAACTGTCCACTCTCCAGACATGAGCTGGGTGTCTTACTATTTAATCCAACGTTGACACTATCTATCTGGAGTTAGTATCAGATCCCATACGTGAGAGGGCTCAGTCCCACAAGACTGCCTTCACTTCAGATGCCAATCACGCAAGTCCCCATCCTTCTGACCCATAGTTACAGTTGTAACCTAACCATGGGAACATATTTTATTTATTGAGAGCCTCTTGTGTCTTCATTCTCAATGAGGACAAATTGGGAGCCAACATTATGTCATTACTGTTCTTGTTTGCTCCTCTCAAATAAATAGAGTATGATTTTTGTTGTTTTTTAATAATGAGACTATGATTACAAGTCATTCAGAGAAAAAAAATAAAATGTTGGTCAGTTTGAATTAGCAAATTAAGAATGACCAAAAATGGCACACATTATCTTAGTCTGTTTTTCAACTTTTTTTTTTTTTTTCCTGAGACGGAGTCTCGCTCTGTCACCCAGGCTGGAGTGCAGTGGCGCAATCTCGGCTCACTGCAAGCTGCGCCTCCCGGGTTCATGCCATTCTCCTGCCTCAGCCTCCCCAGTAGCTGGGACAACAGGCGCCCACCACCATGCCCGGCTAATTTTTTGTATTTTTAGTAGAGACGGGGTTTCTCCATGTTAGCCAGGATGGTCTCGATCTCCTGACCTCGTGATCTGCCCACCTCAGCCTCCCAAAGTGCTGGGATTACAGGTGTGAGCCACCGCACCCAGCCAATCTCTTTTTCATCTTAACTAAGCCTGTCAAGGAAACTTGTCTTGCTTTCCTCATGCTTATCATTTGATTGGCCCAGGGTTTAAGCTAATTAATAGGTGGGTCAGCTATGAGTCATTTTCTTAAGATGGTCTAATCCTTGTTCTACATCTGATTTTATTTCATTTAACGTATCTGTGCTTTAATAGCCTCTCATAAAGATAACTGCTTTTAGATTTAGAGGAGATTAAAAAGCCTCAGAATTGCCAGAACACCTCTGTTGAGTCCCCTCCATAAAAACGACTGGGAAGTTCACAAGTTACACTGATGCTAGAAAGGTTGCTTGAAATTTTAGGATGAATTTTCCTAGAAGGCAATACACATTTTTGAAGTAAGTTTCCAAGAGATTTTATACTCTGATTCCTATGCTAGAGTCCCTAGACACGTTAAAAAACATAGACTCCCCTGGGAGGGTTTCTTTTTGCGACCTCAAGGGAAACACACTTAGGATCCTGAGATCCAATTAAATTTAAGAACTAAATCTTGACTGGAATAGAAGTTCTTGTCCTGGGCTCTTACACGGGCTCTTGAGAGTTTTAAATGTCAGGACCTTAATTCAAACTGTAACCCAAATCAAAGATTCCCAAATCAAAGAAATGCACATTTCAATATAGAGAAAAAGGATTTCAAAATGTGAATTCATTTTGTAAATTAAAAAAAAAAAACGAGCATTAGGGGGTTGGGGTCATTTTAATCTCCTAAAATTCTTTGCAAAAAATAATCAAAATAACTACAAGTCCCAAACTCTAAGATATGGGGCCTTGAGCTAGCAACTAAGAGACTATGACTGAGTTGATCGCACAGAGATGTAAGACACTGACCTGCTAGTGGAGTTGATTACCTGGGCCATGCCTGCTGAATTTATTTCTCCAGGCACTGGACAATGGTGGCATTTGTGAATATCTCTGCTTTGCTTGCTTCCAGCGCAGAGTGTAGGATACTTTGCACTACCTAAAGCTTGGTTGCTTTTTTCTCTTAATAAATAGCGAGCAATCAGGGAAATAAAATACCAGGTGACCTCCACCTTTTACCAAATCAACAATATTTCTCAAAGGCCTATTCTCCAAGACATTCTCCTGGCAAATGTCATGGCTGCGATTACTGAGCACAAGGAACACTTGGATAAACGGAGATCCCTTATGTTTACCTGCAGATAGTTTCCATCCTAAGCTGACAAAGGCTTTATTTTTTTCTCTCTAAAATTGAAGCCCCCTGCTCCCAACCCCACCAAATTAATCATTTTCCTTCGTTATTTAGTAAAGCCACTAGATGAGCTGTGTGTGACTCCATAAACTTTAGGAACTCATTTATTACGTTGCCTGATCAGACCTTGCATTTATTTACACAGTGTACCCATAAAACCCAGCTTTCATTAGTGCTGGGGAGGAACAGTCCTGCTCCCTTTGCTGGGGAAGGTGAAGCTGGAGAAGATAATTAACCATGAAACAATAAGGAGGCTTGCTGGGTAAGCAGTAGTGTGAAAACAGTTACTCCTCACAAAAGAGGGGAAATTAGCTTGCTGGATAAAAAAGGAAGTGTCAGATTGAAGACTGAAAGGCCTGCCAACAGAAGTAGATAGCTCTATGCATCATTAATGAAATTTTTTAACACTTAAACGCCACAGCTGTCCACATTTAAATGCATGTAAATGCCATGTGTTTCCAGAGATTAATACGCATGTTAAAATATTTCTTTCCCCTTAAACTTCTAGCTGTTGTCTCTGTCTGTTTTATTTCACCTACTTTCTTTCTAAGAATAAAAATGCGCCAGCTTTCTCAGCTTTATGTCCTCATTTCCAAAGCCCACGTACACTGAGCATCTTAGAGATGGGCAGCATGCTCATTATATTTTAACAAACACATTATTTTACATTCATAATACTGATATTTAAGTAAACAAAAAGTTTGTTTTGATTTTGCTGCTTCACAGAGTGAAGACTTATGATGTGCGTTTCCTTTCAAAACTTCCTCCTAGAGCATTAGTGCTCCCTGAAGCAGCCCCATTTTGGCAGAAATTCAGTTCTGTGCAGTGCCAAAAGAAATAGAATAAACAAACACTGCTCCATGCAGCTGGTGAGATAATTTACATATTACTGCACACCAAACATGAAGACCTGAATATGGATTAGAGCTACGGTGATGACACAAATGTCATATAGATAAAGAGAAACAAAATTCAACACATCGTTGTTTATTTTACCACTGCTACTGTATGAGTGCTGCTCAGAAAGAAAAAAAACGGAAGAATTGCTTTTGGAAAATTGGACTCCCTTCCCTATTTGAAGTGGGTTCTTTCGGACCGTAAAACAAGAAAAGAAAGGAGCAAAAAGCATGGATTATTTCGGATCTCTTAATATTCTCTACTTTTGCTTTGTGAGTTAAAACAATTTTAATGTGCATCAATTTAGACGAGGTGAGTTAGTAATCTTACAGGAATGACCTTTAAAATACAAAAACACCTGAAGTTTTACCCAGCCCTTTCTCCACCCTTGATAATTTCAGCTGAACACTGAGATTTTTAACTCAGAATGAGGTCCTTGGTTAGGAGGTGGAGTAGGCAATACGGGCCCATAAAAGTTCCATCAGGAAATAGCATCTCATGGACAGGAGTTGTCTTAGAGTGCTCAGCTAATGTGTCTTCTCTCTTCATCCCTGCATGTGCAGATTTATGCAAATCAATTGACCCTTTCTGACCTCAGCTAGATGTATAGGTGTTCTAGGAAAGAAGGGACAGCTCTCTGGATAATTATTGCTGTTAACTCCTTTTCTAATTATTGGGGATGACAAGATTCAAGAAAGTAACACAAATAATAATGATGGTGATAGGGTGAGGAATAAAGAGAATGTGAGATGTTTTAGTCCACACCAAATTAAAAATTCTTTAACCTGCATTGGACAAAGTTGACTTTTCTATATATGCAAAACTGCTCTTGAAATGCGGTTATTTTGGGAGCTTCTAGTCCTTTAATCTTTACAGGTACAGTGTTATTATGACCACTCTTTCTCAAGCGTAAAAACAAAGGGACAAGTCAGGCCCACATAGGTGAATCTAGTTATGTATCACTAAAGTTTAATAGTTAAGGAATGATCTTTAAAATTTAGGAAACAAACAATGTGAGAAGGTTCAAGGGAGTTGGTGATATTTCACGAGGTGAGTGAAAGTCTACTTCTTTTCTATAGTATTTGAAAAGTTATTGGACAGGAAAAGTTCTTTATTTCCACAACTCTAAAACTCGAGAAATGGAATGATATTGCCACAAGAAAAAATAGGTGAGATACACAAGAAGAAACCATTATTAAAAAGGCAATTTAATATTCTCACAGAGTCTCATGAAAATTGGTGAAAAACTCATCACTAGACTTTTTTCAGAACAGAAGAGACAACCATGTACTTAGGATAATCACATGAACCACTTTCAAACCAAGCTTCCTAAAACAAATCCTTTGGTTTTCTTCCCTCACTAGAGAACAAAAACAGAACCTAAACCCAGAACTTTCAGTGGATATTTTCTCTTCTAAATTACCCTGACTTTAAGGCATTCCATAATTTTGTCACATAAAATGAGTGAAATTTAAATCTTTTTTTTTTTTTTTTGAGACATGGTCTTGCTCTGTCATCCAGGATGGAGTGCAGTGGTGCAGTCATAGTTTACTACAGCCTTGAGCTCCTGCACTCAGGCAATCTTCTCCCATCAGCCTCTTGTGCCACCATGCCTGGCTAATTTTTTAAGTTTGTATGTAGAGGTGGGGTCTCACTACGTTGCCCAGGTTGGTCTGGAACTCCTAGCCTCAAGCGATCCTCCTGCCTTGGCCTTCCAAAGATGTGGGATTTTATATATATATATATATATTTCCCCCCCTTTCTTTGAGATGGAGTCTCGCTCTGTCACCCAGGCTGGAGTGCAGTGGGGCCATCATGGCTCACGGCAACCTCTGCCTCCTAGGTTCAAACGAGTCTCCCACCTCAGCCTCCCAAGTAGCTGGGACTACAAGTGTGAGCCACCATGCCCAGCCAACAAATATTTTTTGAATAATGAATGAATACATAAATGTGGTTTATACTACCCTTACCCCAATCTCTCAAAATTCAATCTTAAACTCCTTTAAAGATTTCTCTGCTAACCCAGATCTCAGTGATTTCCAGCTTATTTGATTCTTGCATTAGAGATAGAATCACATAATTTAGCACTTGCATTCATTTATGCATTCAACAAATGTTCACTGAGTTTTTTTGTGTGTGTAGGGGGACAGGGTTTTGCTCTGCTGCCCGGGCTGGAGTGTAGTGGTGCAATCTTGGCTCACTGCAACCTCTGCCTCCCAGACTCAAGCAATCCTCCCACCTCAGCCTTCTGAGTAGCTGGGACCACAGACACACACCAGCGCCCCTGGTTAATTTTTGTATTTTTAGTAGAGAAGGGGTTTTGCCATGTTGCTCAGACTGGTCTCTAATTCCTAGCCTCAAGCAATCCACCTGCCTCAGTCTCCCAAAGTGTTGGAATTAGAGGGGTGAGCCACTGCCCCAGGCCTCACTGAATATTTATTACATAGTACTGCCCAAGCACTGAGCAGATAAAAAGGTGAATCAAGCAGACTCACCTATCAAGTATCTAACAGTTTTGTATTTAGTTTTGTAATTGGTGCTGTCATTTCCATCCCAGACATAGTTTGGAATAACTACTGTCTCATCTATGTCAAAATTATCTTGCAAATTCTTTGGGTGTGAAGCTCATGTCCCGTTCTATTTCTGTGTAGGCAAATCCCAGAACAATGCTGAGCATATGGCAGGCACTCAAATGGTACTTCTTGATTATCTGCCCCCAGGTTCAGTTCCTTTCAATCCATGGAAACATACAACGAACCATCCTTGCAAATAGATTAAATATTCAGAATCCAATATTTGCATAATCAGCAGTGATACATTAATAGTACTAAGGCTATAGGAAGAATAGTTAATCAATACTAAAATAGCCTTCATACCATGGCCTCATGAGTTTGCTTGTACTGTATTGCACTGCTACTCTTCTCTATGCAATAATTAGCTTTTTCAATATTGGTATTTCAATGTTAACCCCCTGGATGTCTAAACATAGCATCTTTTGTTTGATATTCTGCAAACTTACCCATTTATATGTTAAAAATTCATAAACACAATTCAAGGGAAACAACAGACCTAAAATATTAGAACTAAATGAAAAAGAAAATTGGAGTAAATCTGATCTTCTATAGAGGGATAAGAAAATTATTTGACCCCAGTGGCATTTCCACTTAAATGTTTTCTCTTTAGTCAAAATTTAAATGTGACTGCTGCTTCATGATCAGGGAGTTGATACTGAGGCTTAATATCCATTATTTCTAGACCAATGCTTCTCAACCTTTTTCAAGTCATAACACACAGAAAATGTTATCATAGATTTGCATACTGGGAAGGAAGTTGCTCACCGCAGAAGGCAAATAGCCTATAGTTCTCCCAGGTCTCCCCTTCCCCACCCATCTCTCCTCCTACACGCAGGATGACAATTTCAATATCTTAGTCCACATCTAAATGAATCATGGTACATGGCTGGGCAACTCTGCATAAGATAAGTATAACTAGAGGTTTCTTTGGTTGGCAAAACCATGAATATATGAGAAGATGAAGGAATAGTTTAAGTAGTTCAATGTTGCGGGAAGTCAGGGACCCCGAACAGAGGGACCAGGCAGGAGCCGTGGCAGAGGAACATAAATTGGGAAGATTTCATGGACATTCATCAGTTCCCAAATAATACTCTTATAACTTCTTACGCCTGTCTTAATCTCTTAATCCTGTTATCTTCGTAAGCTGAGGATGTACACCTCAGGACCATTGTGATAATTGTGTTAACTGTACAAATTGATTGTAAAACATGTGTTTGAAAAATATGAAATCAGTGCACCTTGAAAAAGAATAGAATAACAGCGATTTTTAGGGAACAAGGGAAGACAACCATAAGGTCTGACTGCCTGTGGGGTTGGGCAAAAAGAGCCATATTTTTCTTCTTGCAGAGAGCCTATAAACAGACGTGCAAGTAGGGAAGATATCTCTAAATTCTTTTCCTAGCAAGGAATATTAATATTAATACCCTGGGAAAGGAATGCATTCCTGGGGGGAGGTCTATAAATGGCTGCTCTGGGAGTGTCTGTCTTACACGGTTGAGATAAGGACTGAGATATGCCCTGGTCTCCTACAGTACCCTCAGGCTTATTAGGGTGGGGAAAAACTCCACCCTGGTAAATTTGTGGTCAGACCGGTTCTCTGCTCTCGAACTCTGTTTTCTGTTGTTTAAGATGTTTATCAAGACAATATGTGCACAGCTGAACATAGACCCTTATCAGTAGTTCTGTTTTGCCTTTTGTCCTGTTCCCTCAGAAGCATGTGATCTTTGTTCTGCTTTTTGCCCTTTGAAGCATGTGATCTTTGTACCTACTCCCTGTTTTACACACTCTCCCCTTTTGAAACCCTTAATAAAAACTTGCTGGTCTGAGACTCAGGCGGGCTTCGTGGTCCTACCAATATGTGATGTCACCCCCAGCAGCCCAGCTGTAAAATTCCTCCCTTTGGAGGGTCTGGCCTGCAATGAGAAAGGTTATGTGCCTGGAGAAGCAGGTAAGATGGGATAATCAGATAGTGTTTTTGAAAGATTACATAGGCTTCAGTGTAGAGAACAGCTGGAAGTGGGTAAAAGTTGATGTGAGGAAGGCAATATTACAGGCTATAGGTAAGTGGCACAGATAAGTGGTACTGATAAGAATAGGAAGAATAACAACTAACATTTATTGGATACTTTCTTTGTGCCAAGCAATATCCTAAGCACTTTATAGGTATTAACTCATTTATGAGAGATTCTGGTAGGTTGGGCTAAGGTGGTGATACTGCAGTTATACAAAAGTAGATGGATTTACGAGCTCTTTAGAAAGTAAAACCAATCAGACCCATTAACGGACTAGATGGACTGATAATGAGTGAGTTGCCAAGGATGACCCATGATCTTGGGAAAGATTGAAGAGATTGTGCTATCTCTCCTTGAGAGCCAGAATAATGGAGAAGAATCAGTTTGTCAAGGAAGATCAGCAGTTTTGTTTTTGACAAACTGAGTTTGAAATGCCTTTAGGAAACCTCAGTAGAGCTGTGGAGCTGTATGTATGTGTTTAGAGCTCAGATGAGTAGTTCTTGAAGTTATGGGCATGAGTGAGATTGCCTAGAGCGAAAGAAGAGAATGAAAAGAGCATCTAGACTCAAAAGCTGGGTAGAGAAAGATAAACAGAGAAAATGGAAAGATCAATGTAAACAAAAGTAATCAGACTTCTAAGAAGTATCTCCGAAAAAAAATAAGAGTAGTCAGAAAGAAATTTGGGAAGAGGAGGTATTTGAGCTCGACTCTGGGAGTTAAGTAGGATTTTTAGAAGAACTTTTCTTCTATAAAACGATGCATTTTACAATTCTGTAGGAATTTTTTTAGCGCAGCAAAATATAAAGAAGAAAATAAAAATTATTCTTAATAACCCAGAGATAACACCTGTAAATATTTGATGGCTTGTTATGTATACCCGACATGATCAGCATTATATGCATATCTGCTTTTCATTCTTTGTGCATCAAAAATATTTGTTTTGTTTTTTTTTTTATAGAGACGGGGTTTCCCCATGTTGGCCAGGCTGGTCTTGAACTCCTGACCTCAGGTGATATGCCTGCCTTGGCCTCCCAAAGTGCTGGGATTACAGGCATGAGCCACCGTGCCTGGCCACAAATATTTCTTAATTCATAAAATATTTCCTTTTAAAAAATCTTTTAAGACAGATCTAAAAAATCTTTTTTAAGACAGAGACTCACTCTGTTGCCCAGGCTGGAGTGCAATCTTGGCTCACTGCAGCCTCTGCCTCCCGAGTTCAAGCAATTCACCTGCCTCAGTCTCCTGAGTAGCTAGGATTACAGGCATACACAACCACGCCTGGCTAATTTTTATATTTTTAGTAGAAATGAGGTTTCACCATATTGGCCAGGCTGGTCTTGAACTACTGACCTCAACTGATCTGCCCATCTTGGCGTCCCAAAGTGCTGGAATTACAGGTGTGAGCCACTGTGCCCAGCCTTCATAAAATATTTTTAAGAAACGTGATTTTTAAGGATGTTAAATACTCTTAAAGGCTTACTTAAAACCCATATTGTTAGAAATTCATATTTCCAATTTTTTTTGGTTTTGTAAATAAAGCATGATGAATATCTTTATATGCATAGCTCAGGTTATTTTCTGAGGGTAAATTTGATAAAGATAAATACTAGGCCAAAGGGTGTGAACACTTTTCAGGATATTGATAAATAGCTAAAGATTATGTGAATTTGCAACCGATTGCTACCTCTCTAACACTGAAATTTGTCTTTAATTTTCCCTCTTTTTGATGAGTAAACAAATAGCAAATGACAAACTGCCACTTTGCATTTCTTTCACTACTATTTGGATTGGATATTTATTTATAGGTTTAGTAACCTTTTGTATTTATTACTTTGTGAATCACTTGGTCATATCTTCTGCCCATTTCTGGGATACTTAGAACCAACTGGATAGGTAGGCTATTCTTGGGGCAAAATATTTATATAGTCACAGTGGTACCAGACTATGGAGGCTTGGAAGATTATGAACTTTGATTTACAAGCAAAATGAAGCCAAAACATATCCTTGCTGAGTGGTATAACATAATTACAATAAACAAAAAATTCCCAAACTGAAATGCAGAGAAAAAAGTAAAAAGAATAAAATATCCCAAGAACTGTGGGAAAATTTCTAATGGTATAACATACATATAATTGGGATACCAGAAAGCAAAGAAAGGATGGAGTAGAATATTTGAAGTGAAATGGTTGAGAGTATTTCAAAACTAATGACAGACAAATCTCAGAGCCAGGAAGCAGGATAAATACCAAAAAATCTATGCTTAGGCAAATCATACACAAATTGTAGAAAATGAAAGACAAAGAGAAAATCTTAAAAGATGCCAGAGGATAAAAAACTGTATCCATAGAGGAATAAGGATAAGAACTACAGTGGACTTCTCATCAGAAATCATTCAAGCAAGAAGAGAGTGAAGTGAAATATTTAAAGTGTTATAAGAAAAAAACCACCAAACTATAATTCCAAATCCACAAATTCTCCTTCAAAAGTGAGGGATAAATAAAAACTTTCTCAGGACAAACAAAACCTGGGTGGTTTCATTGCCAACAGAACTGCCCTACAAAAAATATTAAAAATAGTTATTTAGGGAGAAGGAAATAACAGAGGTAAGAAACCTGGATTGACATAAAGAAAGAATCCTCAGAGAAGAAATAAATAAGGTAAAATCAAATCTTTCAGTTCTCTTATTTTTAATTGATCTAAAAGAAAACTGTTTAAATTAACAGTAGTAACAACGTACTGGGTGATTAGGCCATACATATGAATAAAGTGATGACAGCAATGTTGTAAGAAATGGGAGGGAGGAATTGAGTATACTCTGTTATAAGTTAACCGCACTATACATGCGAAGCAGTATAGTATTGTTTGAAGGTAAACTCGGATTTGTTTAAAATGTTTATGGCAAGCTCTAGGATAACCTCTAAATTTTTTAAAGAGAAATATAATTGATACATTAAAAGAGGAAACAAAATGAAATGAAATAAAATGTTCATTTAAAATAAAAAAAGCAGAAAAAGAAGGAAAAAAGAAAGAACAAATGCAATGAATAAACATAGTTACTAATGTGATAGATATTAATCCAACTATATTAATAATCACTTTAAATATGAAGGGTCTAAATAATGCAATTAAAATATAGAGATTGCCAGAATAGACAAAAGAACAAGACCCAACTATATGCTGTCTATACAAACTCACTTTTTATTTATTTATTTATTTTTGAGACAGAGTGTCACTCTGTTGCCCAGGCTGGCACGTAGTGGTACAATCATGGCTCACTGCAGCCTGGACCTCCTGGGCTCAAGTGATCCTCTCACCTCTGTCTCTTGAGTAGCTGAGACCACAGGTATGCACCACTATGCCCAGCTAATTTTTGTATTTTTTTTGCATAGATGGGTTTTTGCTATGTTGCCCAGGTTGGTCTCGAATTTCTGAGCTCAAGCAATCTGGACACTTTGGCCTCCCAAAATGCTGGGATTACAGGCATGAGCCACAGCAACTGGCCCACAAACCCACTTTAAATACAAAGACTCTGCTATGTTAAAAGTAAGGAGATGAAGAAAAAGATAGCATGCTAACACTAATCAAAAGGAAGCTAGAGTGTTTATATTAATTTCAGGAAAAGCAGATTCAAAACAAGGAAAATTATCGGGGACAATGAAGGGTATTACACAATAATATATGAGTCAATTCTCTAAGAAAACATACAATTCTAAACATGTATGCACAAAGCAATGGAACATATTAAAATATGTGAAGCAAAAATTGAAAGAACTGCAAGGAGAAACAGAACACCCATTATTATTGCTCAATATTGCTTTTTTCTTTTTCTTTTTGAGACAAGGTCTCACTCTGCTGACCAGGCTGGACTGCAATGGTAGGATCTCAGCTCACTGCAACCTCTGCCTCCTAGGCTTGAGCAATCCTCCCACCTCAGCCTTCTGAGTAGCTGGGACTACAGGTGTGTACCACCATGCCTGGCTAATTTTTGTATATATATATTTTTGTATATGTATATATAGATGTGTGTATATATATGTATATATATGTGTATATATATATGTATATATATGTGTATATATATGTATATATGTGTGTATATATATGTGTGTATATATATGTGTATATATATTTCTATATATATATTTTGTATATATATATATTTCTATATATATAGAGAGAGAGAGAGAGAGAGAGACAGGGTTTTGCCATGTTGCCCAGGCTGGTCTTGAACATCTGGGCTCAAGCAGTCCGCCCACCTCGGCCTCCCAAAGTGCTGGGATTACAGGCATGAGCCACCACACTCAGCCTATTGTTGGATATTTCTACACCTCTCTTTTGGTAGGTGATAGATCCAGCAGGCAGAAAATCAATAGGTACATAGTTGAACTGAACAGCATTATCACTTGACTTGATCTAATTGACATTTATAGAATACTTGATCCAACAACAGAAGAATACAAACATTTTTCTCAAGTTCATATTGAACATTCACCAAGACATACTACAACGTGGGCCACAAAACACACCTTAACAAATTTAAAAGAATAGAAATCATACAACGAATGCTCTCCGACCATAATGAAATTAAACTAGAAATCATTAACAGAAAAGTAGCTGAAAATTTCCCAAATATTGAGAAATAAACAACACATTACTAAATAACACCTGAGTTAAAGAAGTCTCAATAAAAAATTTAAAATATTTTGAACTAAATAAAAACAAAAATACAACTTATCAAGATTGACGGGATGCAACAAAAGTAGTGCTTAGAGCTTAGAGGGAAACTTACAGCATTAAGTGCATATATTCGAAGATAAATTTAAAATCAACAACCTAATCTCCCACCTTAGGAAACTGAGAAAGAAAAACAATTTAAGCCTAAATGAAGCAGAAGAAAAAAATATTAAAAATAAGAGCATAAAAGTCAATGAAATGGAAAACAAGGAAACAGCAGAGAAAATCAACTATATCAGCCAGTACTGAAAGGGATACATCTAGAATAATTCAACTGGTTTAGCTTTGGCCCACTCTTGCTGAAAAGGAGGAGAGCAAGGATAAATGAAGTCTAACATGAAATCCATCACTTAAGACAGGATTTCCTCCTCTATTCACTTCTCTGTCATTTGTTCATATGTTTACTAAGCAAAAATATATTGTCTACTATGCCACACAACGTATTATTTCTAGACAATTACAAATATAAATAAGACTTAGTTACTACAATAGCATAACTAAACTAATAATAGCAATTAACATTCATTGACTATGTGGCAGCAGCTGTTCAAAACAGTTTTTACATATTAATTCATTTAAACCTCCCATTACCTATGAAGCAGGTATTATTTTTTTTTTTCCAACTTTTATTTTAGGTTCAGAAAGTACATGTGGTTTTGTTATGTGGTTAAATTGCATGTTGCAGGATTTTGGTGTACAGATTATTTTGTTACCCAGGTAATAAGTACAGTACCTGATAGGTAGTTTTTTTATTCTACCCTCTTCCCACCCTCCATTCTCAGGTAGTCCCCAGTGTCCATTGTTTCCTTTTTGTGTCCATGTGTACTCAATGTTTAGCTCCCACTTATAAGTAAGAACATTGTGGTATGTGGTTTTCTGTTCCTGTATTAATCCACTTAGGGTAATGGTCTCCAGTTCCATTCACATTGCTGCAAAAGACATATCTCATTCTTTTTTATGGCTGCATAGTATTCCATGGTATATATGTACCACATTTTCTTTATCCAGTCTATTGTTGATGGGCATTCAGGTTGATTCCATGTCTTTGCTATTGTGAATACTTCTGTGGGGAACATATGTATGTATCTTTACAGTAGTATGATTTGGGAACATACCCAGTAATGGGATTGCTGGGTCAAATGGTTTTAAGTTCTTTGAGAACTCTCCAAACTGCTTTCCACAGTGGGTGAACTAACTTACTTTCCCACCTGCAGTGTATAAGCTTTCCCTTTTCTCTGCAACCTTGCCAGCATCTATTATTTTTTGACTTTTTAATAATAGCCATTCTAACTGGTGTAAGATGGCATCTCATTGTGGTTTTGATTTGCATTTCTCTAATGATTAATGATATTGAACACTTTTTCATATGTTTGTTGGCTGCATACATGTTTTCTTTTGAGAAGTGTCTGTTCATGTCCTTTGCTCATTTTTTAAAAGGGGGTTGTTTGTTATTTTCTTGTTGATTTAAGTTCCTTCTAGATTCTGGATATTAGACCTTTGTCACATGCATAGTTTGCAGATCTTTTCTCCAATTCTGTAGGTTGTTTGCTCTGTTAATGGTTTTTTTTTTTTTTTCTGTGCAGAAGCATTTTAATTTAATTAGGTTCCATTGGTCAATTTTTGCTTTTAGCATCTTAGTTATGATGATATCTTTGCAAGGGCCTATGTCCAGAAAGGCATTTACTGTGTTTTCTTCTAGGGTTGTTTTTTTTTTCTTCAACTTTTAAGTTTATGGGTACATGTACAGGATGTGCAGGTTTGCTACATAGGTAAACATGTGCCATGGTGGTTTGCTGCACAGATCATCCCATCACCTAGGTATTAAGCTCAGCATCATTAGCTATTCATCCTGATGCTCTCCCTCTCCTCTCACTGCCCTCTGAAAGGCCCCAGCATGTGTTGTTTCACCCACATGTGTCTATGTGTTCTCATCATTTAGCCTTTTAGCTCCCACTTATAAGTAAGAACATGCAATGTTTGGTTTTCTGTTCCTGCATTACATTGCTGAGGATAACAGCTTTCAACTCCATCCATATCCCTGCAAAGGACATGGTCTCATTCCTTTTTATGGCTGCATAGTATTCCATGGTATATATCTACCACATATTCTTTATCTAGTCTATCACTGATAGGGTTTAGGTTGATTCCATGTCTTTGCTACTGTGAATAGTGCTGCAATGAATATATGCATGCATGTATCTTTTATATTCCTTTGGGTATATACACAGTAATAGGATTGCTGGGTCAAATGGTATTTCTGCCTCTAGGTCTTTGAGGAATTGCCACACTGTCTTCCACAATATTTGAGCTAATTTACACTCCCACCAACAGTGTAAAAGTGTTCCTTTTTCTCTGCAACCTTGCCAGCATCTGTTGTTTTTTTATTTTTAACAATAGTCATTCTGACTGGCGTGAGATGGTATCTCATTGTGGTTTTGATTTGCATTTCTCTAATGATCAGTGATGTTGAGCTTTTTTCATATTAGTTCACTGCATGTATGTCTTTTGAGAAGAGTCCTTTGCTCACTTTTTAATGGGGTTGTTTGATTTTTCTTGTAACTCTAAGTTCCTTGTAGACTCAGGGTATTAGACCTTTGTCAGATGGATAGATTGCAAAAACTTTCTCCCATTCTGTAGGTTGTCTGTTCACTCTGATGAGTTTCTTGTGCTATGCAGAAGCTCTCTTGGTTTAATTAGATCCCATGTGTGAATTTTTGCTTTAGTTGCAATTGCTTTCAGTGTTTGACGAAATCATTACCCATGGCTATGTCCTGAATGGTATGGCTATGTCCTGAATGGTATCGCCTAGATTTTCTCCTAGCGTTTTTATAGTTTTGGGTTTTACATTTAAGTCTTAATCCATCGGTTGAGTTAACCTTTGTAGATGGTATAAAAAAGAGGTCCAGTTTCAATTTTCTGCATATGGCTAGCCAGCTGTCCCAGCACCATTTATTAAATAGGGAGTCCTTTCCCCATTGCTGCTTTTTGTCAGGTTTGTCCAAGATCAGATGGTTGTAGGTGTGAAGTCTTAATCCTGAGTTCTCTATTCTGTTCCATTGATCTACGTGTCTGTTCTTGTACCAGTACCATGCATGCTGTTTTAGTTACTGTAGCCTTGCAGTATAGTTTGAAGTCAGGTAGCATGATGCCCCCAGCTTTGTTCCCTTTGCTTAGGATTGTCTTGGTTATTCAGCCTCTTTTTTGGTTCCATATGAATTTTTAAAGTTTTTTTCTAATTCTGTGAAGAATGTAAATAGTAGTTTAATGAGAATAGCATTAAATCTACAAATTACTTTGGGCAGTATGGCCATTTTCATAATACTGATTCTTCCTATCCATGAGCATGGAATGTTTCTCCATTTGTTTATGTACTCTCTGATTTGAGCAGTGGTTTATAGATCTCCTTGAGGAGGTCTTTCACTTCCCTTGTTAGCTATATTCCTACATATTTTATACTTTTTGTAGCAATTGTGATTGGAAGTTCATCCATGATTTGTCTATCTGCTTACCTGTTGTTGGTATATAGAAATGCTAGCAATTTTTGCAAATTGATTTTGTATCCTGAGACTGCTGAAATTGCTTATCAGTTTATGGAGCTTTTGAGCTGAGATGATGGGGTTCTCTAGGTATAGAATCATGTCATCTGCAAACAAAGATGATTTGACTTCCTCTCTTCCTATTTAAATGCCCTTTATTTCTTTCTCTTGCCTCACTGTGCTGGGCAGAACTTCCAGTACCATGTTGAATAGGAGTGGTGACAGAGGGCATCCTTGTCTTGTGCCAGTTTTTAACAAGAATGCTTCCAGCTTTTGCCCATTCAGCATGCTATTGATTTGTCATAAATGGCTCTTATTATTTTAAGGTATGTTCCTTTAATACCTAGTTTATTGACAGTTTTTAACATGAAGGGATACTGGATTTTATCAAAGGCTTTTTCTGTATCTATTGAGATAATCATGTAGATTTTTGTCTTTAGTTCTGTTTATGTGATGAATCACATTTATTGACTCACATATGTTGAACCAACCTTGCATCCTGGGGATAAAGGTGACTTGATTGTGGTGGATAAGCTTTTTGATGTGCTGCTGGCTGGATTCAGTTTGCCAGTAGTTTATTGAGGATTTTTGCATCTACATTCATCAAGGATATTAGCCTGAAGTTTTCTTTTTTTGTTGCATCTCTGCCAGGTTTTGGTATCAGGATGATGCTGACCTCACGGAATGAGTTAGGGAGAAGTCCCTCTTTTTCAATTTTTTTGGAATATTTTCTGTAGAAATGACACCAGCTCTTCTTTGTACCTCTGGTAGAATTCAGCTGTGAATCCAAATGGTCCTGGGCTTTTTTTGGTTGGTGGGCTATTTATTACTGCCTCAATTTCAGAACTCATTATTGGTCTATTCAGCGATTCAATTTCTTCCTGGTTCAGTCTTGTGAGGGTGCATGTGTCCAGGAATTTATCCATTTCTTCTAGATTTCTAGTTTATGTGCATAGAGGTGTTTATAGTATTTTCTAATGGTTGTATTTCTGTGGGGTCAGTGGTAATATGCCCCCTTATCATTTCTGATTGTGTGTATTTGATTGTTTTCTCTTTTCTTCTTTATTAGTCTAGCTAGTGGTCTCTTTTGTTAATTTAAAAAAAAATAGCTCTTGGATTCACTGATTTTTTGAAGAGGTTTTCATGTCTCTATCTCCTTCAGTTCAGCTCTGAATTTTGTTATTTCTTGTCTTCTGCTAGCTTTGCGGTTTGCTTGTTCTTCGTTCTCTAGTTTCTAGTTGAGATGCTAGGTTGTTAACCTGAGATCTTTCTAGCTTTTTGATATGGGCATTTAGTGCTAGAAATCTCCCTCTTAACATAGCTTTAGCAACCCAGAGATTCTGGTAAGTTGTCACTTTGTTCTCATTAGTTTTGAAGAACTATTTGTTTGTTTGTTTGTTTGTTTGAGATGCAGTCTCATTCTTTTGCCCAGGCTGGAATGCAGTGATGCAATCTCAGCTCACTGCAATATCTGCCTCCTGGGTTCAAGAGATTCTCGTGCCTCAGCCTCCCAAGTAATTGGGATTACAGATGGGCACCACCATGCATTGCTAATTTTTATATCTTTAGTAGAGATGAGTTTTCACCATGTTGGCCAGGCTGGTCTGAACTCCTGGCCTCAAGTGATCCTTCCACCTCAGCCTCCCAAAATGCTGGGATTACAGGTGTGAGCCACTGCAGCTGGCTAGCAAATAACTTCTTGATTTCTGCCTTAATTATTTACCCGAGTCATTCAGGAGCATGTTTTTCAATTTCCACGTAGTTGTGTGATTTTGAGTGAATTTCTCAATTTGACAGTGCTGTGGGTCTGATAGACTGTTTGTTATGATTTCAGTTTTTTGCATTTGCTGAGGAGTATTTTACCTCTGATTATGTGATCAATTTTAGAGTAAGTGCCATGCAGCACTGAGAAGAATGTATATTCTGTTGTTTTGGGGTGGAAAGTTCTGTAGATATCTATCAGGTCCACTTGATCCAGAGCTGAGTTCAGGCCCTGAATATTTTTGCTAATTTTCTGTCTCAATGATCTGTCTACTACTGTCAGTGGGGTGTTACAGTTTCCCACTATTATTGTGTGGGAGTTTGAGTCTCTTTGTAGATCTCCAAGAACTTGCTTTATGAATTTCGGTGCTTCTGTATAGGGTGCATATATATTTAGGATAGTCAGTTTTATTGAATTGAAGCCTTTACCATTATTTAATGCCCTTCTTTGTCTTTTTTAATCGTTGATGGTTTAAAGACTGTATATTCTGTTGTTTTGGGGTGGAAAGTTCTGTAGATATCTATGAGGTCCACTTGATCCAGAGCTGAGTTTGGGTCCTGAGTATCTTTGCTAATTTTCTGTCTCAGTGATCTCTCAAGTAGTGTCAGTGGGGTGTTACAGTCTCCTACTATTATTGTGTGGGAGTTTGAGTCTCTTTGTAGGTCTCCAAGAAATTTCTGTATGAGTTTGTGTGCTTCTGTATTGGGTGCATATATATTTAGGATAGTTAGCTTTTTT
The DNA here is from genome assembly GCF_000001405.40 of Homo sapiens. NCBI lineage: Eukaryota > Metazoa > Chordata > Mammalia > Primates > Hominidae > Homo > Homo sapiens. Next base: position 32,793,464 of record NC_000014.9, on the reverse strand, counting down.
TTATTGAATTGAGCCCTTTACCATTATATAATGCCCTTCTTTATCTTTTTTAATCTTTGCTGGTTTAAACTCTGGTTTGTCAGAAACTGGGATTGCAACCCCTGATTTTTTCTGTTTTCCATTTGCTTGGTAAATTTTCCTCTATCCCTTTATTTTGAGCCTATGTGTGTCTCTGCATGTGAGATGGGTCTCTTGAAGACAGCATACTGATGGGTCTTGGCTCTTTATCCAGCTTGCATTCTGTCTTTTAATTGGGGCATTTAGTCCATTTACATTTAAGGTTAGTATTGTTATGTGTGAATTTGATCCTTTCATCATGATGATAGCTGGTTATTTTGTGGACTTGTTTATGTGGTTGCTTCATAATGTCACTGGTCTGTGTACTTCAGTGTGTTTTTGTAATGGCTGGTAACATTTTTTCCTTTCCATATTTAGTGCTTCCTTCAAGATCTTTTGTAAGGCAAGCCTGGTGGCGATGAATTCCCTCAGCATTTGCTTGCCTGAAAAGAATCTTATTTCTTCTTTGCTTATGAAGCTTAGTTTGGCCAGATATTAAATTCTGGGTTGAAAATTCTTTTATTAAGCCACATGATTATCTCAATAGAAGCAGAAAAGGCCTTCGATAAAATTCAACACTACTTCATGCTAAAAACACTCAATAAACTAGGTATTGATGAAACATATCTTAAAATAATAACTATTTATGACTAACCCATAGCCAATATCATATTGAATGGGCAAAAGCTAGAAGCATTCCCTTTGAAAACCAGCATAAGACAAGGATGCCTTCTCTCACCACTCCTATTCAACATAGTATTGGAAGTTCTGGCCAGGGCAATCAGGCAAGAGAAAGAAATAAAGGATATTCAAACAGTAAGGGAGGAAGTCAAATTACCTCTGTTTGCAGATGGCATGACTGTATATTTAGAAAACCCCATCGTCTCAGCCCAAAAACTGCTTAAGCTGATAAGCAGCTTCAACAAAGTCTCAGGATATAAAATCAATGTGCAAAAATCACAAGCATTCCTATACACCAATACTAGACAAAGAAAGAGCCAAATCATGAGTGATCCCATTCACAATTCCTACTAAGAAAATAAATACCTAGGAATATAACTTACAAGGGACGTGAAGGTCCTCTTCAGGGAGAACTACAAACCATTGCTCAAGGAAATAAGAGAGGACACAAACAAATGGAAAAACATTCCATGCTCATGGATAGGAAGAATCAATATCATGAAAATGGCCGTACTGTCCAAAGTAATTTACAGATTCAATGCTATTCCCATGAAGCTACCACTGAATTTCTTCACAGAACTAGAAAAAACTACTTTAAATTTCATATGGAACCAAAAAAGAGCCCACAGAGTCCAGACAATCCTAAGCAAAAAGAACAAAGCTAGAGGCATCATGCTACCTGACTTCAAACTATACTACAAGGCTACAGTAACCAAAACAGCATGGTACTGGTACCAAAACAGAGATATAGACCAATAGAAAAGAACAGAGGCCTCAGAAATAACACCACACATCTAAAACCATCTGATCTTGGACAAACCTGACAAAAAGAAGCAATGGGGAAAGGATTCCCTATATAATAAATGGTGCTGGGAAAACTGGCTAGCCATAAGCAGAAAACTGAAACTGGACCCCTTCCTTACATTTTACACAAAAATTAACTCAAGAAGGATTAAAGGCTTAAACACAAAACCAAAAACCATAAAAACCCTAGAAGAAAACCTAGGCAATATCATTCAGGACATAGGCATGGGCAAAGACTTCCTGACTAAAACACCAAAAGCAATTGCAACAAAAGCCAAAATTGACATATGGGGTCTAATTAAAGTAAAGAGCTTCTGCACAGCAAAAGAAACTATCACCAGAGTGAACAGGCAACCTACAGAATGGGAGAAAATTTTTGCAATCTATCCATCTGACTAATAGGGCTAATACCCAGAATCTACAAGGAACTTAAACAAGTTTAGAAGAAAAAAACGACCCACCCCATCAAAAAGTGGACAAAAGATATGAACAGACACTTCTCAAAAGAAGACATTTATGCAGCCAACAAACATATGAAAAAAAGCTCATCATGATTGGCCATTAGAGAAATGCAAATCAAAACCACAATGAGATACCATCTCATGACTGTTAGAATGGTGATCATTAAAAAGTCAGGAAACAATAGATGCTGGAGAGGCTCTGGAGAAATAGGAACGCTTTTATACTGTTGGTGGGAGTGTAAATTAGTTCAACCATTGTGGAAGACAGTGTAGTGATTCTTCAAGGATCTAGAACCAGAAACACCATTTGACCCAGCAATCCCATTACTGAGTTATACCCAAAGGATTATAAATCATTCTACTATAAAGACACAAGCACACATATGTTTATTGCAGCACTATTCGCAATAGCAAAGACTTGGAACCAATCCAAATGCCCACCAATGATAGACTGGATAAATAAAATGTGGCACATATACACCATGGAATACTATGCAGCCATAAAAAAGAATGAGTTCATGTCCTTTGCAGGGACATGAAAGAAGGTGGAAATCATCACTCTCAGCAGACTAACACAGGAACAGGAAACCAAAAACCACATGTTCTCACTCACAAGTGGAAGCTGAACAATGAGAACACATGGACACAGGGAGCAGAACATCACATATCGGGGTCTGCCAGGGAGTGGGGGGCAAGGGGATAGAGAGCATTAGGACAAACACCTAATGCATGAGGGGCTTAAAACCTAGATGACAGGTTGATGGCTGCAGCAAACCACCATGGCACATGTATACCTATGTAACAAACCTGCACGTTCTGCACATGTATCCCAGAACTTAAAGTATAATAAATAAATTAATTAAGAAAAGAAAATTATTTTCTTTAAGAATGTTGAACATTAGCCCCCAATCTCTTCTGACTTGTAGGGTTTCTGTTGAGAGGTCCACGGTTAGTCTGATGGGTTTCCCTTTGTAAGTGACCTGGCCTTTCTCTCTGGCTGCCCTTAACATTTTTTCTTTCATTTTGACCTTGCAGAATCTGATGATTATGTGTCTTGGGGTTGATCTTCTCATGGAATATCTTACTGGGGTTCTCTGCATTTCCTGAATTTGAACATTGACCTGTCTTGGTAGGTTGGGGAAGTTCTCCTGGATGAAAGCCTGTAGTATGTTTTCCAACTTGGTTCCATTCTCCCTGTCTCTTTCAAGTACCCCAATCAGTTGTAGATTCAGTCTCTTTACATAATCTCATATTTCTCAGAGGTTTTGTTCATTCCTTTTTGTTCTTTTTCCCTATTCTTGTCTGCCTGTATTATTTTAGAAAGATAGTCTTCAGGCTCTGAGATTCTTTCCTCCACTTGGTCTATTCTGCTATTGATACTTGTGATTGCATTGTGAAGTTATCATGTTGTGTTTTTCAGCTCCATTAGGTCAGTTATGTTCCTCTCTAAACTGGCTATTCTGGCTTTCAGCTCCTGTACTGTTTTGTCGTGATTCTTAGCTTCTTTGCATTGGGTTACAACATGCTCCTGTAGCTCAGCAACATTCATTATTACCCACCTCCTGAAGCCTACTTCTGTCAATTCAGCCATCTCAGCCCCAACCCAGTTCTGTGCCCTTGCTGGAGAGGTGTTGCAGTCATATGGAGAAGAGGCACTCTGGCTTTTTGAGTTTTCAGTATTCTTGCATCGATTCTTTCTCATTTTGTGGGCTTATCTACCTTTGATCTTTGAGGATACTAACTTGAACGGGGTTTTTGTAGGGTCTTTTTTGTTGATATTGTTGTTTTCTGTTTGTTTTTCTTTTAACGGTCAGGCCACTCTAGCATAGGGCTGCTGCGGTTTGCTGGGGGTCCACTCCAGGCCCTAGTTGGCTCGTTTTTTCCTGTAACTGGAGGTTTCACCAGTGAAGGCTGTGAAACAGCAAAGATGGCAGCCAGCTCCTTCCTCTGGAAGCTCCGTTCCAGTAGGGTACTGACCTGTTGCCGGCCCAACCACACCTGTAGAAGGTGGCTGGAGACCCCTGTTGGGAGGTCTCACCCAGTCAGGAGGAATGGGATCAGGGATCTACTTAAAGAAGCAGTCTGGCTGCTGTTTGGTAGAGCAGGTGTGTTGCGTTGGGAGAGACCCTTCCGCGTCCAGACAGTTTGTATTCTCCAAAGCTGGCAGGCTGGAATGGCTGAGTCAACTGAACTGCAGAGATGGCAGCTGCCCCTCCCCACAGGAGCTCTGTCCCAGGGAGAGATCAGAGCTCTGTCTGCAGAACCCTTGCTGGAGTGGCTAAAGCCTCCACAGGGAGATCCCACCCTGTGAGGAGGAATGGATCTAGGTTCCGCTTAAAGAAGCAGTCTCGCCATAATCTGGCAAGGCAGCCGTGCTGCATTGTGGAGGACCCTTCCTTGTTCATACGGTTTGTATTGTCCAAAGGTGGCAGGCTGGAATGGCTGAGTCTACCGAACCACATAGATGGTGGCCGACCCTCTCCCCAGGAACTCAGTCCTGTCTCAGGCAGACTCCAGCCTGTTGTTGGCTGGCTAGAATTCCAAGCCAGTAGGTCTTAACTTGTGAGGTGCCGTGGAAGTGGGGCCCGCAGAATGACGCTGCTTGGCTCCCTGAATTCAGCACCCTTCCTAGGGATATGAATGGATGGATTTCCCGCCTTGCCAGGGATGCCAGGGCCAGAATTGTAAAACTCCTGGGTCTCTGTTTGTGCCTGAGTGGCTGCTTTGCTGAGACGCCACACAGCTCTGTGTCTCGGACCCAAAGACCTGGTAGTTAGTGGGCTCACAAGAGGATCTCCTGATCCGCCGGTTGCAAAGATTCATGGGAGAAGCATGGTTTCCTGGGGGGGGTTGCACGCTCACTCACTGCTTCCCTTGGCTGAGGGTGGGGGTTCCTTTCGCTCCGTGCCACTCCCAGGTGGGCTGTTGCCCCCACCCCCTGCTTTTCTTCATTCTGCATGGGTTGAGTTGTTTGCTTAGTTAGTTTCAATGTGAGATCCTGGATATATAAGTTGAAGGTGCTGAATTCCCTTGCCCCTTTTCATTCCTTTCCGTGAGTTCCGCGGCCACAGACCACGGCTGCTTCTAATTGGCCATCTTGAACCTCCCTTCTAGGGTTTTTATAGTTTATCATTGTTATCTCTATCTTACAGATGAAGAAACTGAGGCACAGAAAAGTTAAATAATTTGCCATGATCACACAGCTACTAAGTGAGAGAGTCTGGCTCTAGCTCTTAATCACCATATTGTATTATAATACTCAAGAAAATTCCCAGCTTTCTTGAAAATCTACTCTGTCTACTGGAAACTGTCACATTAAGGATACATGTCTTATATTCTTATATTTAATACCAAGCCCTTCATGTGTAATTTAAAAATCATTTCTTCCTTCCCACCTTCTTTTTTTTTTTTTTTTTTTTTTGAGATGGGGTCTCACTCTGTTGCCCAGGCTAGAATGAAGTGGTATAATTACGGCTCATTGCATCCTTGAACTCCTGGGCTCAAGCAGTCCTCCTGTTTCAGCCTCCCAAGGATTTGGAATGACACATTTGTTTTTGGCTGTAATAAGTGGAAACAGGAGGGAGGGCATATAGATCTCTATGTAATGTACTTGCATATATTTGAAAAAAATGGTGAGGGATTTATAAAAGAAAAATAAATTTATTGGAGATTACTTTGAAAGAGCTTTTTGGTATTTGAAGCTTACCTAGAAATACTCTAAAGAAGAGAGCTGTTTTTGACATGCATAAAGACTTTTTTTAACAGCGATCTCTCTTGTAAGTAATTAAGTACAAGTAATTACATAATTACTTGATTATGTAGCAGCACTAAAATTTTACAGGAGGTTTTTCACTTAAACTCTAGCCTTATAAAAATAATTGCCACAAGTCAAAATTATTTTCTAAATGTAGTAATTCTTTTTGCTTTTAATTTTTTTGGGGGGGGTGAAATCTAGATCTATTTTTGTTCAGCAACCAAACCCAGATAAATATGTATTTAATAACGTGTCACTGTGTTCAGATACTGACTTAAAAACTTAGAATGAATCCCCAAGTTACAATGGCGAGGTACACCTAGATGGGAAATGAAATTATAAGCTGAGGTCACAATCTAGAGAATTTCTTTGGTCATACATTTCTGAAATCATTCGTCAGATTAAGATAAGAATGCTATTTATCTTAATATATGCATCACCAAATAATAAGATTGAGAGGCAGAAAAAGTGTGGGGTTCCCCCCCTTTCTTTCATTCTTTCCTTTCTTTTGTAAAGTGAGCTGTCTGATCATTGCAAATTTCCTCGAGTTCTTAGAACTCTAATTAAAATGTGGTAATTGGTTATGTTACCTCAATTACCATGATGCATGGACATTGATGCAAAGTGACACCAATTGAATCCTTTGGGTGTTTTACCCTGGGGCCATCCCATTTATCGTGGCCTTATTATTTTCAATTATGTGGCTAGATGTGTTATGTATTTTTGGGGCCAATAAATGTGTAAGGTTTCTCTAGACACGATGTTCTGTTTTCAATGCTGGAGTTCTGGAGTGCCAGAGCAAAAGAAAAAAATATATTTGTACAAAGAATAAAAACTTAAAACCCTAAATTCACAAAGGATTCAAAAGCACACTCTTTGAAATAAAAATATTTCAAAGGAATCCACATTATTTCTGTTTAAAACATTTAATTGAAAAGCAAGAATAATTTACTTGCTACTGATAACTACTTGTCTGAACTCAGAAAACAGTGATAGGACTATTCAGAGGACTTATATGAGAGTTAGAGAGGTAAGAAAACAGACAGGAAAGGCAAATTTTTCTTGCTTTTAAGATAAAGGTTTAGGCTGGGTGCTGTGGCTCATGCCTGTAATCCCAGCACTTTGGGAGGCCGAGGCAGGCAGATCACGAGGTCAGGAGATCGAAACCATCCTGGCTAACACGGTAAAACCCCATCTCTACTAAAAATAAAAAAATAAAATAAAATAAAATAATTAGCCGGGCGTGGTGGTGGGCGCCTGTAGTCCCAGCTACTCAGGAGGCTGGGGCAGGAGAATGGCATGCACCTGGGAGGTGGAGCTTGCAGTGAGCCAAGATGGCGCCACTGCACTCCAGCCTTGGCGACAGAGCAAGATTCCGTCTCAAAAAAAAAAAAAAAAAAAAAAAAAAAGATAAAGGTTTAGGTCTTTCAGAGGGCTAAGTAGAGCTGAAATGAGTATTTTACAGATGTATATTATCAGAGATCTGTCCTCAGAGCGAACATGAAAGTAACAGTGCACCAAAATGGTTACAGAACAAAGTGTTTTCCAATGGGGACGCTGCTGGCATTTGTGGAAAAATCTGTCTGCATACGGGGTTGTTTCATGCATTGTTACTGTCTCCCCAGATGCACCCACTCAATGGCAGTGGTGTCCTCAGTTGTTAGAAATGACCCCAGAACATTTTCCTAAAAAATCTGGGAGTGAATTGGACATTACTTGGGGACATCATCAATAAATGTAATACGACACTTTGTGAAATCATTTTCATTTTCTGAGAATGATACTTGTGTCTTCACCAGTTTTTTTTTAAATCACATTCTCATATTTCTGAAAACTAAAGAGAAATTTGTGTCCTTTTACTTATTAGTTTATGTCTTGGTTGGTTTGACTATGTCCAAATAAGTATAGCATTCGTTTATATGGTACAGATGACGTAAGAATCTGAACTGGGAAAGTTGTGAGAGAAAGAAGTTGTCCTGTACAAGATCTTTCAAAGACTGGCAAAGCAAGGATATTTATAGCAAAATCCCATACTACTTCCAACCAACACTCAAAGAGCCTTATATTTACAACACTTTGCAAGTACTTCCCCAACTAAGCTTCACACGTATATTAACTGTCAGATCAGTTTTCCCTTCATTTTCGTCTTTGGATTCAAGAAAACTGCCAACAGGAAACTCAAGAGAGTTTTACATAGAACTCATTCTATTACTTTTGGTAATATTTTAAAAGTAAAAAACATTGAATGATCATATATGATGATGTTATCCAAAGTATTTCATTCTTAAAAATATATATTAAAAATCTAAACTGTAACTTAATAATTATTCAAACTTTCTCAATTCAAAATTTAATTTTAAATTTCAATTATTCAAAAGAAATGTTTTCCCTCTCAAGATTTACTTTCTTTATTCTGTTATTTCTCATTCTTTGGTTTGAAATTTTTCCAAATAATACCAATAGTTAATTCTATTCATGTATTTCTTCTGATGAATCCAACTCTTTATGTAAGAGCCAATTTTCATTGGAAGGACATGCAATAGAGAAAAAAGAGCCAATGAACAAGAATGGAGGGAAGCACTGGATTTATTTCCAAATGGTGTTCTCTAATTCAATCCAGTCTAACTTGAGTCTGCAGATCTTTAATATGTCATGCCAAAGTCCTCAGAACTGACTAATGAATAGAAAACAGTATATTAACAAAAATTACTGTGCTATCAATCATTTATATGATTCTTCTTGTATTCAATTCAAAAAGGAATTCCAGGCAGTCTCCAATAAAAAGAATAACAATATAAATCATTAACCAAGATATACTAAACAACCAAAGTAGTCTTAGGGGGAAGAAAGGCAAGAAATTGTTGTCAATAAACCCTTTAAGAACTAAAAGAACTTTACATCTTGGAGTCAGATACGCCTGCGTCCACACCTTTCTCCGCCTACTGGCTGCATAACCTTGTATAATTTATGTAATCTATCAAAAATTTAGTTTCTTCATCTTTGGTTGTTATGAAGATTAAATAACACAACATATTAAAAGTGGTAACACAGCAACTGAGAAACAGTACATGTTCAATGCTGTTAGCAAGTAATACAACAGCCCCACTCTCTTGGTGAGTGACACTTAAGATATGCCACATGGCTTTTTAGAGGGATCTCCAACAGTAAGTTAGACAAACAAAACTAATATGGAAAAAAGTTAAAAACAGAAACATGTCTCCTCACAATGTATAACACCCTCTTGTGTTAGCAATTTTGCAGATTCCCCTGAGGAAATTGTGTATACTAGACTGAACCTGTTCAGTAGAGAGGTTTGTTAAGATGGCATTTGAGAAGAGAAATTTGATTTGTGGTATATACAAATCACTGCTGGAAAAGTGTCCTTCTTACTACAAATTCCATAAATGTCATGAGTTTCTGTGAAGCATGTGTGAATTTAATAAGAATTCCCATGGACTTATAGGAAATGCTTAAATAAGTGTCAGTGAACTATCAGTGGTCAACCAATTCACACAGCAGCCCAAATCCTCTTCTCTAGTTTCTCTAGCACATTGAAACAGAAAGTGCTTGCTTACGCCTTTTTCTTAAAGTTCTCATAAGAAATTATTGCTTTTCATAGCCCATTTAGATATAATTTTTGACAATTAAAACTTCTCCATATGTCACATGTGATACGAAAATTTGATCCATAATTTTCCAAAATATATTGAAAATAGAATCACCTAATTTCCAAATCTAAGTCACTTAATTTGTATTTATGAAAGTCTTGTTCATTTACTTGATTTAAAGGTGGCTGCATATGTACCATTCTTATCATTAAAGAAGGCTTTGTCTTAGAGAGGCAGTTTAGGTTGTTGATTCAGGACACTGACTCTGAAGCCAGAGCTCCCAGGTTCAAATCTCAGATGAGTTACAAACCAGGTGGTAACTCTGGAAAAATTGCTGAAATTTTCTTTGCCTCAATTTTTTTCTTCTGTAAAATAGAGGATAATGGCACGTAAATTATATGGTTATTAAGAGTCTTAAAGGACTGAACATTGCCTGATATATATCAAGTGCGATGTGTTAGCTGTTATTAGCATTGTTTGGTTCTTCAGAAAAGGAATGCCCATTTTCATTTACTTATACCAAGACAAGGATACTCACTGCCAGGCTTCAGGGTAATCTATCAACTCCTTTGTAATTAAAATTCTGAATATGTGTTTTTTTTAAACAGCTTTATTGAGGTATAATTTAAATAAAGTAAATTATACATATTACAATGTAAAATTTTATGCTTTGATATAAGAATATGCATACAAAATGATCACTACAAACAAGATCATGAATATTTCTATCACTCCCAAAAGATTTCTCGTTACCCTTTATTATTGCTCCAGTGATCACAAGATTTTACCCTATGATTTTTTTTCTAAAATTTTCTACATTTTACATTTAGGTCAATTATTTATCTTGCTTAATTTTTATATGGCACATTATACGGATCAATCTATGTCTGTGCATATGGAAATTCAATTGTTCCAGGATCATTTGTTCAAAAGACTATCCTTTCTTCATTGAATTGCCTTTGTACTTCTATTAAAAATTAATTGACCATTTATGTGTAGCTCTATTTCTGAAATATTTATTTTGTTCCATTGATGTATTTGTTGACCTTGACAGCAATGCCATACTTTCTTGACTACTGTAGCTTTATTATAACTCTTGATATCAGGAGGTATAAATCCTCCAATTTAACTCATCTTTCTCAAAGTTGCTTTGGGTATTCTATGTCCTTTGCATTTCCAAATGAATTTTAGAATCAGCTTACAAATTTTTACGAAAAAAAAAAATCACAGAGATTTTCATTGGGATTACATTAATTCTATAGATAAATTTGGGGAGATTTGATATCTTAATATTGTATCCTCTGATCCATGAATTCAGTATAGTCCACTATTAATTTAGTTATTATTTGTTAATAATTTCTCTCAGCAATATTTTGTAGCTGTTTGCATACAGTTCTTCCATATCTATTGTTAGATACATCCCTAAGCATTTCATGTACTATTAATATTATAAATTGAATGTTTAAAAATTTCAATTTATGACTATTTATCAGTAATATCTAGAATATAATTGACATTTATATATTGATCTTGTATCCTATAACCTTGTTAACTTCCCTTATTTGTTCTAGTATCTTTTTGTAGATTCTGTAGCAGTTTCTACATAGATGGTGATGGAATCTCTGAGTAAAAATAATTTTGCTTCTTAATTGACAAATGGCATGTCTTAAATTATTTTTCTTGCTTTATGGATCTGGCTAAAACTTCCAATACAATTTTGAATAGAAATGGTGAAATTGTACATCTTTGCCTTATTCCTGATCTTAGAGGAGAAGTATTCTGTTTTTTCCTATTGAGTATGATGTTAACTGTTTCTTAGCTGTGGATCCCCATTATTAAGTTTTTCCTTAGGTCTTTTCTTCCTTTCTTCCTTTCTTTTTCTTTCCCTTCCTCCCTCCCTCCCTCCCTCCCTCCCTTCCTTTCTTTCCTTTTTTTGAGACAGAGTTGCTCTCTGTCACCCAGGCTGGAATACAGTGGCGTGATCTCGGCTCACTGCAACCTCCACCACCCAGGTTGAAGCAATTCTCCTGCCTCAGCCTCCAGAGTAGCTGGGATTACAGGCGCGCACCACCATGCCCAGCTAAGTTTTTGTATTTTTAGTAGAGATGGGGGTTTCGCCATGTTGACCAGGCTGGTCTCGAACTCCTGGCCTCAAGTGATCCACCCACCTCGGCCTCCCAAAGTGCTGGGATTACAGGTGTGAGCCACCACACCTGGACATTTTTTCCTTAGGTTTCTGAGAGTTTTTATCAGGAAGGATATTGGATTTTGGCAAATGCTTTTTCAGCATTGAGATAATCAAATGGGTTTCCTGAGTGTGCAAATACGATGAATTACATTGATTGTTTTCAAGTATGAAACTACGTATTTCTAGGCTAAACCTCACAATATCATGATGTAGTTTCTATTTTATATACTTTTTATTTGATTTGATAAAATTTTGTTAAGAATCTTTTTATTGACATTCATAAGGGATATCATCCAGCAGTTTTCTTGTATTGCCTTTTTGACATCTGGGTAATGCTTGCCCAAGGAATGAGAATGAAAAATATTCTTTCCTTTTCAATTTCTGGACAACTTTGCATAAAATTAATATTATGTATTCTTTAAATGTTTGGTAGAATTCACCTATAAAGCCAACTAGGTCTGAAATTTTCTTTCTGGGGAGGTTTTAAACTAATGACTCAATGTATTTAGTAGACAAAAGATTATTCATAAAATTACCTTCATATTCTCTTTTTTTTTTTTTTTGAGAGTAAGTTTCACTCTTGTTGCCCAGGCTGGAGTGCAATGGCGCGATCTTGGCTGACAGTCTTCTTTCAGTATTGGTAGAAGCTGTAGTGATGTCTGTCTCTTATTCCTGATACTGATAATTTATTTTTCTCTTTTTTTCCCTAATCAATCTAGCTAGAGGTTTATCAATTTCATTGGTCTTCTCAAAAATAACCCCAGATTTTCATTTCATTGATTTTTTTCTTTATTATTTTTTCTGTCTTCTATTTCACTGATTTCTGCTTTGATTTTATTATTTTCTTTCTCCTATTTACTTTGGGTTTAATTTGGTCTTCTTTTTCTAGTTTCATAAGGTGAAAACTAAGATCTTAGTTTTGGTGGCATCCCACAGATTTTAATATTTTGTTACTATTCAATTAAAAATACTTTCTAATTTCCCTTTTCATTTCTTCTTTGGCCCATGAGTTGTATATAAGTGTGTTATTTAGCTTCCATGTATTTGAGGATTTTCCAAATATATTGCTATTACTTATTTTGAAACTAATTCTATTATAGTCAAATAACATACTTTGTATGACATGAGTTATTTTAACTTAAAAAAATAGATATGGAGTCTCGATATATTGCTCAGGCTAGTCTCAGGCTGAAGCCATCCTCTTGCTTCAGCCTCCCAAAGTGCTGGGCTTACAGGCATGAGCCACTGCACCTGGCTGAATTCTTTTAAATTTAAGACTTGTTTTGTGGCTCAGAAGAGAGTTTTAGTAGATGTTATGTGTGCACTTAAATGTATATTCTGCTGCTGCTGGATGACATGACTGATTTTTAAATGTATATATTGTGTACGACATGATGTTTTGATACATGTAGTGAAGTGACTTCTATATTCAAGCAAATTTACATATCCATCATCTCAGATTGTACATTAGATCTCTAGATTTTTTAATAGGACCATAACTCCAACTTCATATCTTTTGACCTACATCTTTCCATTTCCCTTCAGATTCTCTGTTTCTTTCTTTTTTTCTTTTTAGATTCCATATATAAGTGAGATCATGTAATATTTTTCTTTCTGTGTCTGGTTTATTTCACTTAGCATAATGTCCTCCAGTTTCATCCATGTTTTCACCAATAGCAGGATCTCCTTTTTTTTTAAGGCCAAATATTACATTGTGTGTGTATATGTGTATAAGCATGCATATATATATATATGTTTTTTTTTTCAATTTCTTTTTCCATTCATCTAATGGACACTTCAGTTGTTCCCATATCTTGGCTATGATAAATAATGATGCAATGAGCATGTGACTAAAGACATCCTTATGAGGCAGTGATTTCATTTCCTTTGGGTATAGACCTACAAGAGAGATTTCTGGGTCATACGGTAGTTCTATTTTCACTTTCTTTAGGAACCTCCATACTGCTTCCCACAGAGGCTACACCAATCTACATTCCTACCAACAGTGGACAAGGGTTCCCTTTTTTCTACACCCTCACCAACAATTGTTATTCATTATCCTTTTGATAAAAGCCTTGGATAGAGTGTTTTAAGTGCCAATTAAATTGCTTTATAGTATCATTCCAAGTCTTTTATATCTTTACTGATTTTTCTGGTCTATCAGCTATTGAGAAAAAGTAATGGAATCTCTGCCCAAAATGGTCTGTTTTTGTTGTCTCCTCACAGTTGTATCAATTTTTGCTTTATGTATTTTAAAGCTCTGTTTTAGAGCATAAACATTTAGTAATGTTGTCTTCTTGATTAATTGGCATCTTTATCATTAAGAATGAGCTTCTTTATAATTTGTAATCTTCTTTGCTCTGAAATCTACACTGTTTACTATTAATACAGCCACTCCAACTCTGTTTGTGTTAGCTTAATATATATATTTCCATCTCTTAGCTTTATTATATCTTTATGTTTAAAGTGGGTTTCCTTTGTTTTTTTTTTTTTTTTGGTCCTGAGACAGAGTCTCACTCTGTTGCCCAGGCTGGGGTACAGGGGCACAAACACTGTTCATGGTAGCCTCAACCTCCTGGGCTCAAGTGATCCTCCCACCTGAGCCTCCTGAGTAGTGGGCAGCTGAGACCACAGGTGCACTGCCACCATGCCTGGCTAATTTTTTATTTTTATTTTTTTGTAGTGACGGGGTTTCACCATGTTGCCCAGGCTGGTCTCAAACTCCTGGGGTTAAGTGATCCTGCTGCCTCAGCCTCCCAAAGTGCTGAAATTACAGGTGTGAGCCACCACATCTGGCCTAAATTGGGTTTCTCATAGGCAACATGTAACTCAGTAGAGCTTTATAAACCTAATCCGATCATTGTTCCTTTTTAATTGGGGCTTTTAGTCCATTCCCATTTAACAGGATTATTTATGCAGTTGTTTTAAGTCTTCCATCTTGCTATTCTTCTATTTATTGCATCTATTTTTTATTCTTTTTCTTTTATTTTTTTTTAAATGATTCTATTCATTTCCTCTGTTGGCCTACTCATTATAGCTTTTTGTTATGTTTTTAAAGAGTTATAAGCTAGGCATGGCGACTCATGCCTGTAATCCCAGCACTGTGGGAGGCCAAGGTGGGAGAACTGCTTGAGGCCAGGAGTTTGAGACTAGCCTGCGCAACATAGCGAGATCCCATCTCTCCAAAAAAAAAAAAAAAATTGCTGGGTATGCTGGCATGCTCCTGTATTCTCAGCTACTTGGAGACTGAGGCAGGAGACCTGCTTGCACCCAGGAGGTCAAGGCTACAGTGAGCCATGATTGTGCCATAGCATTGTAGCCTGAGCAACAGAGTAAGACCCCGTATCTAAAAATACAAACAAATAAAAAAAACCCAAAACCATATATTTTATCTTATCACATGTCTAATTTTTTCTTTAATCCTCTTTTCAAAAAAAAAAACTTTAAATGATATTATACCACCTCACATAGAATAAAAACCACATAGTTCCTGGCCGTTGCAATATTTTGTTGTCATACGTTTGACTTCTACATATGTTATAAATAGACAATAAGCTGTTATCAACTTGATTTAAGCAGTCTATTACCACTTAAAGAGATTTAAATAATACAAAAAAAATTTCATAGTAACCCACATAGTTACTATTTTCAGTCTTCTTCATTCCCTTGTGCTTATCCAGGTTTCCATCTGATATAATTTTCCATTTGGTTGAAGGACTGCCTTTAACATTTCTTGTGGTACAGGTCGATGGGTAATGAATATCCTCAGGTTTTAATGAATGAAAACTATTTTGTCTTCATTTTTGAATGATATTTTCTCTGTATATATAATTCTAGGTTATTTTATTCCACTATCTTTTTATTTTTATTTTTCTGAGACAGGGTCTGACTGTCATCCAGGCTAGAGTGCAGTGGCACAAACACAGCTCACTGCAGCCACAACCTCCCAGGCTCAAGTGATCCTCCTGCCTCTGTCTCCCAAGTAGCTGGGACTGCACGCATGTGTCTTCAGGCCTGCCTAATTTTTGTATTGTTTTGTAGAAATGAGGTCTTGCTATGTTGCCCAGGTTGGTCTTGAACTCCTGGCCTCAAGCAGTCCTCCCACCTCAGCCTACCAAAGTGCTGGAATTACATATGTGAGCAAGAGCACCCAGCTTCCACCTTCCTTTTATTATGGGATTCTAATTCTAATCTTCAATTAGGCTGCTTGAAGATACCTCAGAGCTCACTGATGCTCTGATTTTATTTTGCTCTGTCTTTTTTTCTTTCTGCTTCATTTTGCACAATTTTTATTGCTATGTTTTCAGGTTTACAAATTATTTCTTCTGTGATGTCTAATTGGCTGTTAATCTCATCCAGTGTATTTTTCATCTCAGTAATGATAGTTTTCCTCTTTATAATGTGATTTCAGGTAGATATTTTTAATGTCTCTACTTAATATGATCAATATTTTTTCCAGCTGCTTGAACATATGGAATGCGGGTATAATAACTTTTAATGTTTTTGTCTACCAATTCTATACTCTGTGACATTTCTGGATCAGTTTATATTGATTAATATTCATATTCACATCAGCTGACTATTCCTGCTTCTTTCCATTCCTGGTAGGTTTAGATTGGATGTCAGACACTATAAATTTTATAAATTTTAACTTGTTGTATGTTGGGTATTTGTATTCCTATAAATATTCTTGAGCTTTGTCCTGGGAGTATAGTTAAATTACTTTGAAACAGTTTGATCCTTTCAGGTCTTGCTTTTAAGTTTTTTTTGGGCAAGACCAGAGCAGCATTTAGTCTAAGTTTGCCCCATTACTAAGGCAAAAACTTTTCTTGGTACCCTATCACATGCCTTGTGAATGATGAGGGTTTCTACTATGAGTGAGGGAAAAGGGAATGATTTCTAGCTCTGTGCAAGCTCCAGGGAGTGTTCCCTCTAATCCTTTCAGGTGGTTCCTTCTGCTGAGTACTTGAGAGCATCCCTCTGTATATCTCCGGTGCGCCCTGTCTGTGTAGCCCTTTCCTCTTTGGCACTCTGCCCTGTAGCAATGTTAGCCACTTTAGCCTCCTTAGACTCCACTTAGAGACTGACAGTCTCCTTGAGTTTAGGAAACAGGTCTGAGAGTCTGGGGAGGCCTTATTAAGCAAGAAAGATTAAAGATCATCTTCTTGGTGTTCTTATAGAAACATAACACTCAGCTACTTTGTGAAAAAATGTAAAAATTTAGAATATAGATACAGTAACTCCAAATCAAATGCCAGAATGAAACAAAATTTATTAAATGAACACATGTACTCATTCATTCAGCAAATACTTATTTGTAGACCTACTATGTGCAAGTATTTCCCAGGCCCTGGGGGATATAGCAGTGTATTAGTCTGTTTTCACACTGCTGATAAAGACATACCCAAGACTGAATAATTTATAAAGAAAAAGAGGTTTAATGAACTCACAGTTCCATGTGGCTGGGGAGGCCTCACAATCATGGTGGAAGGCAAAAGGCACATCTTACATGGCAGCAGACAAGAGAGAATGACAACCAAGTGAAAGGGGTTTCCCCTTATAAAACCATCAGATCTAGTGAGACTTATTCACTACCATGAGAACAGTATGGGGGAAACCACCCCCATGATTCAATTATCTCCCACTCGGTCCCTCCCATAACATCTAGGAATTATGGGAGCTACAATTCAAGAGGAGATTTGGTTGGGGACACAGACAAACCATATCAAAGAAGTGAAAGTCCCAATGCACAAGCAAGGATGAAATGGGAGTGGGGACATATGATAACTGAAGAGCCAACTTAGAGGATTCTGATTCTCTGCAAAGGCAGCCTCCCACATTGGCAACTTCAAAGCAACCTGGACTCTTCACTCAACCAACAGAGATAAGAAGCAGAGAAATATCTCCCACTGAATGATGTACCCGGTGCTCACAGTATTTGTTGGCATTAGACCACTCTCTTCATTCCTTTTCTGACAGAGATTTTCAACTTTCAGCACAGAGGACCTTATTTGCTACCTTCATTTTTCCAGTCTACACATTCAGCAGTCACCTTAAACAAAAGGAAACACCTTTCTCTGTTTGGAATTTGTATCTACCTGTATGTAGTAGCTTGAACCTTTAAGAAGCAGCCAGGGTTGCCTCAAAGCTAAAGCTTGCCTTTACCATAGAAGTAGAATAAAAGGCTGAGTGCAGTGGCTTACACCTGCAACCCCAGCACATTGGGAGGCCAAGGTGGGAGGATCGCCAAGAATTTGAGACCAGCCTGGGCAACATAGTGAGACCATGTCTCTACAAAAAGTAAAATAAAAATTAGGCAGACATGCTGACACATGCCTGTAGTCCTAGCTACTTGAGAGGTTGAGGTGGGGGGATCACTTGAGCCCAGGAGTTTGAGGCTGCAGTAAGCTATGATCAGGCCACTGTACCCCAGTCTGGGAGATAGAGAAAGACTCCATCCTTGAAAAAAAAAAAAAAAGGATAAAAATGTCTACATCTAGTCTGCAGAGAACTGCTCTAGAACCCCTGATCATACGATTTCAAATAAATCCTCAAAGAAACACAACTTTGCCTCCTCCAAAGCAGTTTGAATGCTTCAAAAATTTCACAACTTTGCCTGCTGCAGTTGATTTTTGCATATATCTTATGGCCACTACCACGATTACAGGCTTAAAAGTATAGAAAGTAATAATAATAATCTCATCTGCCCTTCCAAACACTCTCAAAACAAACAAAAAACATGCCAGCTAAATAGCTTTACAAAAAAACAGGTCATTTCAAGAAAAGACATCTAATTATGTTGACTCTGATTACTAGTAATAACTTGGAAGTCTTAAGAAATTTAACAACTTCAGCTTAAAACAATTAAACAGAACTATTGACGATAAAATCACCCCCTAGACTCAATATATCTACAGATGCAAAAAGAATTAGATGGCTTGCTGATTCATTGTCCCTTCTGTTCCCAGTCCCAAGTGCCTAACACGTCAAAGAGCAGATATTAAGGCTTCGTTAAAATCAGAATTCATAGGAGGATTTTTCATGATTTTTACATTTGATTTTTCAATTTTGGATCCTGAACTTTCCAAAGTTATAGAACTGAAAAATATAAACATATAAGGAAAACTTTCCATTCTATGTATGTATGTATGTATGTATGTATGTATGCATTCCATTTATATAAGTCAAACATGGGAGTTGGGCCTTCAACTAATAGACATTGACCTCAAGGTCATTTGGAGTATGCAATCTTTTTTATCGATAAATTCTTTCCTAAAGGATATGAAGGCTCTCTGGACAAATATGCATCGTATATTACAAGGAAACAACTTCTAGTTATATCTATTTCCTTCATCTAGCAACAGCTTAAACCTGTACTCAATTTGGAAAATCCTTAAAAGGAATCTCTACTCACCACCTTGAGCACTGCATTAAAACTCTAAGAGGAAACTTGCCAATTCTCAGCAATGTAACTATCAGAAGAAGCTCTAAGCAGGAACACTAGGAGATTACTGTACAAATAGATGATGTTAACTCATGTCATGTCAGGGAAAAGTAAACAATGTACTTTATTTCGTTGTATTATCTGCAGAGCATACACATTACTCCATATGCTCTGACAGTACTAAGCTACTTTCTAGCAAAATATTCATGGGTTATTGTATGATTAATGAATATTGTTAGTGAAGGAATGATTGAAAGAATTAATGGCTTAGGTTGGTAAGGTTAAGCGAAATCTCCATGTGATTTTTTTCAAAAAGACAATGAGGTACACTAAAGGAATTTTAATAAAGCAAATAAATGTCAGTGTTATGACAAATGGAGTTTCATTTAGTGGACAGCTAGTTCGTAGTAAAACTATGAGCTTTAGTTAGTTAAAACCACTTGTAAGATGGCAAAACCACTTTAAGTTAGTTAGTAAAACCATTTATAAGATGAACACCGTTTCCAAGCCTGAAAGAATTATTTTTTGTCTGAGAAAATGACAGACAATTATGCTTAAAAAAAGCATCACTCACAGATTCCTTTCCCATCTTCTTTTGTAGACGTGTTTGCCACTGGACGGCTTGCATGACAATGGCTTCCCACCTTCTTTCAAGATTTACAATGATCAGCTGCATGGGCTGGTGGTCTGCATTCAGATTGCAAGTCTCCCGGTCATCCAAAAGATGCTGGCATAGTCGCAGAATGGAGGCAACTCCTCGACGTCGTTGCTTGATTTCACGACAGAGGGACTGCAACATAGAGAGAAACCAATCTATGAGTGTTTATAGGGCAGAGTTCCCTAAAACATGAAACACCTTCTTCCATCATAATTTCAAATTGTAGTGATACACTCAGCTACCAACAATAGGACAAGAAGAGCTCTGATGTCCCTTTTAGAATGGAGGCCTCCTACAGAAGTCCAATATGCTAAAGAATTTAGCTGCATCCCATTCCTCCACACTTTTCACTGATTTATCCCTCCGAAATGTAGGGTCCTCCCTAGACACCTGGGTAATTAACAATTTCTAGCCTAATGAAATAAATCATTTAGGTCACATGAATGCCAAACAGATTGACATGCTTTGACATAAGGTCGAAGGAAACGCAGAAGATAGAAAAATCCTCCGAAAAGAAATAGAATTTTTCCAAATTTACTCCTACATTCTTTGGAGGCAAAAAGTTCAGTTTTCTACTGGCTGAGAACAAGTTAAACAAGATTGCAAAGAATTTTTATATATAAAATCTATTATCTGAAAAAAAAAGATAAGCAATATTCCTCTTCCAAAGCTTGATTAACAAAGCAATAATGTTCTGAAAGCGAAAATTAAGATACTGGATTATTACTGCACTATTTGTTGGTTGCTGTGTTTCTTTTAATAGACATTCACACTATTTAAGAAGGACATGCCGGCACCAAAATAGCATTTTGCCCCCAGAAGCATTTGTATTGCTGCAGTGACCCTAAACTGAATGATTCAAGCAAAATAGTGGGTACACATGTCTAAAAATATTATATCCTTTCTTTGCCTACAGATAGTGTGTAAGTGATATTCTAATTCGGAGCCTTCAGGAGAAATGATGATTATATCCACAAACATCACTGAATTACTAATCTCCTTCTACTGCCACAATTGGACTGTTCTAACAGTTAACAGAGTGCTTATTAATCAACAAGGGTAAACAAGACAATGCAATTTCATTTAGTGTGAGAGTTTTAATGCCTGAAAGTATTTGTGCTTAAAATGTTAATCTAGATAAGGCTTCATTAGAAGAAATCTTAAAATGATTAAGTGTGGTGCGCTGAAATGTGCTTGGAGTGGGGGTATCAGATCAGCAGGTGGACATTTCATACAGATGTCCCACTTACTGATATAATGCATGCTAGAGCCATTTAAATGACCCTGACTCAGTAATGGCTGGAATTCTATTATTTCTGTAATGAGAGAACTCTGTACCTTTAATATTTCTGAATTTTAAATAAGGTGAATGACAAATTCCCAAACCTCTATTTATGGCAAAATATGACTAGAAATTTTATTATTCAATTTATACCAGCGCAGCAGTTTCAGTTATGTTTCTTGAACTTATCCTTATTTATTTTCCTAGAGTTCATTACTATTTTCCTATATAAGTCCTGATATAACCACCATGTCTGACAAATTTCTTTACTGCTGCTATTAATTGGTTCAGTGCTGAATGAGGAGAAATCCCTAAGACATTCAAAGATAAAACCTAAGCCTACTAAGGCAACCAGCATTGTTACCATCTCTTCCTACAACCCTGTCAAATGTCTCCCCTCAACCCCACGTGCATGTTCTCTTTCTCTCTCTCCCTCTCTGTCTCTTCTTTTCACTCAAACGCACAAACACACACACACACATCCACACACACCCTTCAATTTATCTCTTGCTCTAGAACGACTGTTGGGCAAGTCAAACTATGAAGGCCACCTAATACCTGCCAATTTGGGGCCCAATATTAAACACTTCAAGATAACATTACGGCCAAATGAAATTGGCCCAAGTGAGTCCTATAAATATTAATATTAAGGATTTGGGGTTTTCTTTCTGTTTTGTTAACTTGTTAAGCGTAAAGGCCTAGAAAAATCAAAAGAGATGTTTCTGTGCCATAGAACTGAATTTTGCAAAACTGTCTTTAAAATAAAGTTAACTAGCATAATAACTGTATTTCTTAAGCCAACAAAAAGTCCCAAAGTTCTTAGCCAAATGAAAATTTGCAATGGATGGCACTAAAGGTATGTGCAGAGTTAGCACAGGCCACATCAGGCAACATTTGCAAAGCACCCCAAACAGACTTCATTCACCTTATAGGCATTTTCAAAGTTCTGAAACAGGACATCTGAGGTTGCTAGGAGAAATTTTTCATAAAGATCATTGGCCATAAATTTTTTTGTAAGTATCTAGAATGTATCCAGTATTTTAAGTATCTAGGTGATCCCCACTCCTATCTTAAGATGAATAATCAAGATGAATACAGTGGTTTAAAAACTAAGAAGGCAATTACTGTTGATATTCAATATCTGATTTTTGGATATTCACAATTCTGCAGGGTTTTTTTTTTTTTTCCTTTAAATGAACACAGGGCTTAGTCTACATTCTGAATTAAAAATTTATCCTACATGTGCACTTGGGAAATAATGCTACTTTTAAAAAGGAGGGGAAAATTGGAAATTTTACATGACCAACATATTTTTCAGTACTTTTTTATACCTAGAAGATATAATTAATAAAATAACATTTTTCTACATAAATGGGCTTCCATGACAGCCATTAAAATATACATATGCATTCGTAATCAAAAATTCATAATAAAATCAGTGGATGTGCTGGCAACATTTCTTAGAATCAGTAGTTTATATTAATTCCATAATAAAATATGCATAGATAGAAACAATTATTATAACTATCTTTGGCTTCATTTCAGAGAAAATGTGCTTTGAAACAGAAACTCAAGGTAAGTAACCTAAGTAAAGCACAGAAATAAGACAAACACATCCCTACCTCCCTGATCTCCTCAAATGTGTACTGCACTTTCCATATGCTAGGCACCGTTTCAGGAATGAAGCTTTCAAAAAGGAGCAAGTTCCCTTTTACCCTCAAGGAGTTGAGAGTCTACTGGAAGTAAACTATACAAATAAGTATAATATCAAAGAGGAAGGTGCTAACAGAAGTATGTGCAAGTTGCTATTGAAGAGTCAATGAAATATTCAGGGGAATGGTGTGAACCAGATGGACCAAGATGGGTGGTGGTGGTTACATGGGTAGAAGGCTGAGAGGTATGTTAAAGTGGAAAACAAGTAAGTAGCCTCTGGCAGTGGGAGTGCCTGGTGTGTTGGGGAGAGACAGTGAAGCAGCTGAGCTGGAAAAGGAAGTAGGAAACAGAAAAGTTTGAAATGCTTTTCATTATTGCCATTTTTAAGCATTTTCCTTGATATCTAATGAGATCATGTTGGTTCCCATGCATAGTCATATTGCCTTCCTAGAAAACTATAAAGAAGAGGGAAACAAAATTTAAAAAGAAAGAAAAACACAACTATCAATATGCCTAAGAAAGGGATTGCAAGTGCTTTTATATTTACCTATAATTTGATAATCTTTAGGCAATTTCGTCTTGCAAGGTTAAATCTGTTAGAATGGAGGTCATTATCTGTCTTTTTTCCCCCTTTATAATGATCTCCGATCCACATTATAAGGTAGTTACCAACAGGCTTAAGGCTTTTGTTTCACATTTGTAAACCGTCAATTTGATTTTCAATTTACCAGTGGCAATGTGCAGGGGTGTTTTTTGGTTTATCTGGGTTTTATTCCTCTACTGACTTCCTCTGTCACTCTTTTCAACTGTTTAAACCAATCATATTATTGAGCAAATGTGCAATATTATTCCTCACATTGGCTTCAGTTTAACACCATTGAAGTTAAGACTTTCAATACTGGTATTTAGTCTTCATTATATATCAAATATGTGCATATATGCAAACAGATAGATATTTACTTATATTTACTTGTATACACATACTTGACATTGAATGTCATATAGTTTATAAAAGGATATAAATAAGCTTATAATAAAAGAACAGCTTTATTTACACCAAGAACTGTTACAGCAAATGAGATGTAAGAACCAGATCAGAAAAAAAGAGAGATGAGAAGGAAAATAATACTTTAAAAACACCAAAACTAAGTATATATTAAAAACAGAGAGAAACAAATTTAGCTGAGAAACTCCAAAGCAATTTGTCTCCAATATTTATTACATAATTTAACTTTGTAGGTTGATTAAACATCATTAGGTAGGCCAATATGAACAAAGTGGTGGGACTTTAGCTGATCTGTTAAAAAAAAAAAAAAAAAAAACCCATGAAGCAATTCCCACTTTCAGACTTCGCCTTCTAAACTGATCAACTGTTTAACATCAGTTGAGCATGGCTTCTATGTGGCAAGCACAACAAAGAAGGTATAATCTGCATATATGATAATGTACCTGCCTTCAATCTAGCTGGAGAGAGAAGGGAAGTGTGAACAAACACAGGTGACTTCTAGTTTAAATATTATCAAGAGGGGCCAGGCGCAGTGGCTCATATCTGTAATCCCAGCACTGTGGGAGGAGGAGGCAGGCGGATCACTTGAAGTCAGGAGTTCAAGACCAGCCTATCCAACACAGTGAAACCCCATCTCTATTAAAAATATAAAAATTAGCTGGGTGTGGTGGTGGGTGCCTGTAATCCCAGCTACTCGGGAGGCTGAGGCAGGAGAATGGCTTGAGCCCAGGAGGTGGAGGTTGCAGTGGGCCGAGATCGTGCCATTGCACTGCAGCCTGGGCTACAAGAGTGACACTCTGTCTCAAAAAAAAAAAAAAAAAAAAAAAAAAATCAAAAGAGCAGCTGCATCCCCTAGTTGTAAGTTTCCTAAAATTTTCCATGTGTTTTGCTGTCTCCTCTTTGTCTGCTACCTATGACCAGATTTTCTACAACAAGGGTCCTCAGAGTACGGTGCCCACGCCAAGCAGTATTCACATCACCCAGAAACTTGTTAGAACTGCAAATTCTCTGATGCTACTATACGTCTTCTGAATCAGGAATACTGGGGTGATGCCCAATGAACCATGCTTTAACAAGCAAGCCCTATAGGTGATTCCAATACATGCTAAAGTTTGAGAACACTAGTCTACAGGAAATAAAGAAACTTAGTTTTTAGGTAAGAGGATTAATCTAGCTGAGTAGACTTTTTAAAGTATAAAAATAGTAATAGAAATTTTATGTTCTAATTCTGGAATGAAACTGGTAGCCAAGAGCCTAGGGACCACAATTGTTGATGATCAATTACTTTCCTATTTTTATCAAATGACTGAAAAGAAATGAGTGAATCAATGAATAGATCTTTTCATCCAGTGATATCTTTATGTTACTAGTATTTTCTTGATGATCTCCAGAATTTCCAGTGCAATTATGTATTAGGTCATTTGGATCCAGTATTTGGTGATTTTACTCTTTTTTGTCATTTTTATCAAATAAGTCATTTGCTAATTAATGACTCTAATACATATGGCATTTTGCTAAGCTAAAAAGAAACTCTGCTCCCAGAAAGCACACATAATAAAGCAAAACAATGATGATTACTTGGAAGGTACAAGCTATTCAGGTACAGATAATGTTAATGCCTGAAGCTATACTCTAATAAGAAATAGAGCAAGTGGGGAAAATAAGAGGCTATTCTGGTACCTCTATGCTTCTTTAGAAGATGCATTTGTCTGGCTGCTTTGGGATCATTGTTTTGTGGGGGAAGGTTGGCAAATGATAATTTTCATAGCAAATAAGCATTCATTGGGCACCATTTATGTGCCAAACTTTATACTTTTCATTATGGAATTAGTGTTGGTGGATAAGAGGCATGTAATAAAATGTACCTGTTCTTAAGAGCTGGTGGCAAAGAGAAGACACTGATTCCTCAAAGTGAGAGAAATAAATACGAGGCAAAGGTTTTCTGTAAGACCATCAGGTTGTAGTAGGTTCTAAATAAGGTAAGGGAGGTGAATGTGCTTTGAGAATAGTGAGGCCATGACCCAAATGTAAGGTGTGATTGATATATATGCTAAACTATGGGCACTGAGTTTGAGAATAAAAAAGATCATTATTAACTGGAGTAGACAGATTAGGATTCATGGGACTAAAACCAGGCTGTGAAAGTTGCTGAAGGTAAGAAAGGTGGAGAGAAGAGAGGATAGGCATTACAGGTTGGGGAGCACACATTTAAAAAGGCCAAGAAGCCATAATTTTTGTAACATTTTAAAACAAGATGGAAGTTCAAGTGGGGTGTGGTAATAATCATTATTCAAGTATTGATCTATCCATCCAAATGTACTTATTGAGTGCCTTTTATTTGCCAAGCAGTGCTCTCAGTGGTGGGGATATAGCAGTGAGCAAGACACACAAAATGTCTACTTTCATAGAATTTACATTCACATTTGTATGCATGTGAATGATGAGAGGCTGGAAACAAAACATGAAATATACAAGAAAATATCAGATAGTGCTAAAAGCTATCAAATAAAACAGGGTGATATGACAGAAAGTGGCTTGGGAGTTATTTTCGTTTGGGTTTTCAATAAAGCTTCTCTGAGAAGGTGACTTCACATAATAACAAGTTCAATGTAGAAACAAAATATCACCTAGTGTTCTGATGCTGTAATAGTGTAGACAAGATAATGTTCATACAATCAAGACTAATTTATGCCATAAAAGACTTCTTTTACAGTTAATTATGGCATATTAAAGATTAAATATAAGATACCTTTCAATAAAATAAGTAAAATTAAAAAGCTCTGGTATAATTAAGTCAGGAAAGAATAGTTTTTTCAACAAATGGTGCTGAGACAACTGGATATCCACATGCAAAAGAATGAATTGAACCCCTATCCCACACCATCTACAAAACTAACACAAAATGGATCATACTCTTAATTGTAAGAGCTAAAACTATAAAAATCTTAGAAGAAAATATAGAGGTAAATATTCATCATGTTGGGTTAGACAATGATTTTGTAGATATTACATCAAAAGTAGAAACAGCTTTTGACTTCATAGGCAATGGCTTCTTCTTTATGACACAAAAGTATAAGCAACTTTTGGGCTTCATCAAAATTTAAAGCTTTTGCACTTCAGATGATACCATAGAAAAGTGAAAAGAAAAACCACAGAATGGGAGAAAATATCAAGACCAGTAACTCAATTTTTTAAATGGACAAAGTATTTGAATAGACATTTCTGCAAACACATACAAATGGCAAAAAAATATGAAAAAAGGCTCAACACAATCAGTCATCAGATAAATGCAAATGTAAGCCATGATTAGATATTACTTCACCCCCTAGTAGGATGGCTAAAAAGGAAATAACAAGTGTTAACAAGGATGTGGAGAAATTGGAACCCTCATCCATTAGTGGGATTGCAAAATGGTGCAGCCACATGAAAAAACAGTATGACATTTCCTCAAAAAGTTAAACATATAATTACTGTATGATCCAGCGATTTCCTTTTGAATATATACCCAAGAGAACTGAAAACATATGACCACATAAAAACCTACACACAAATATTCATAATGGCATTATTCATAAAGCCAAAAAGTGGAAACATGTCAAACACCCATCAACTGTGAGTGGATTAAAAAAATGCAGTAAATACATATAATGTAATATTATTTGGCATTTAAAAATGAAGTACTTATACATATCATAACATGGATGAACCTTGAGAACATCATATTAAGTGAAAGAAGACAGATACAAAAGGTCACATATTTTACGATTCCTTTTATATGAAATGTCCAGAATAGGCAAATACATAGAAACAGAAAGTGGAATAGTGATTGCCATGGCCTCCAGTGAGGGGCAAAAAGCGAGCTAATGGGTAAGGGGTTTCTTTTAAGAGTGGTGAAAACATTCTGAAATAAGATTTTCTGGTATGTAAATTATATCTCAATGAAAATATTATTTTAAGAAAACCTCTTGGTAAGGCCAGAAATATATTATCAACCCCATAAATGATTATACAATCAGAGAATTTACCATTCTGCTAGGGTGTGTCATACAACAGATGCTAATGATATAACTAATACCATACAATCACTATGGTTCTGCAACCATGGGTGGATACAAGGATTAATTTACCAATGCAAACTTGTAGGTTTTTTTTTTTTTTTTAAGTTATGGCTATAAAATGTCCTCGGATAGAGTCATTACTACATTATACATACATTCTGCCATATACATCTATGTATTTCTGCCAACAGATCAGACATTCTGCTGTATGATAAAAATAATGCAGTGTCATTTTTAATATAGCTGTCCTACTCCTAGAAATAGCATAAAACATAAACATAAAAGTAAACATAGAAGACTATGAATCTGAAAGAGGAGTTAAAGCAAATGTGGGAAATGAAGAATGTTAACTAAATCTAATTATTGCAGTGATGAATTTCATATATAATCATATACATCTTATGAAACTGTAATCTATTGTGGTGTTAGTATCAGTGCAAAAATGAGAGACCTGACATATCAGATGTGCTTCACATACTTTACCAAAGATCATTCTGAGTCGACTATATGCATCTGAACCAATACAAAATAAAAATAATGTTACATTCTCTTCAAATATTTCATCAAGATTCACTTGAAGCCGGGTGCGGTGGCTCACACCTGTAATCCCAGCACTTTGGGAGGCTGAGGCAGGCGGATCACGAGGTCAGGAGTTCAAGACCAGCCTGACCAACATGGTGAAACCCCGTCTCTACCATAAATACAAAAATTAGCTGGGCGTGGTGGCATGTACCTGTAATCCCAGCTACTCAGGAGGCTGAGGCAGGAGAATTGCTTGAACCTGGGAGGCAGAGGTTGCAGTGAGCCGAGATCGCACCACCGCATTCCAGCCCTGGTGACAGAGAGAGATTCCGTCTCAAAAAAAAAAAAAAAAAAAGATTCACTTGAATGCAAAATAATAGCCTATAATCATTGGGACTTATCAATTGCTGGAGCACTATTTTAAATAATATTTTCTTGGTTATTTTCACTAATCTCCAGCAGTAATGACCAACATTTTTTGTATATTTATGTGTGCCACACATTTTAAAAGGTACTTTATATGTATTGAATCATTTAATCCTCACAGCAACACTACAATATGTGTGTGTGCGTGTGTGTGTGTGTGTGTGTGTATTATTGTCATCTATCTATTTGACAAACGAGGAAATGGAGACACAGAGTGGTTAAGTAGCTGACCATAGGTACACAGCTAATAAGCAACAAAGGCAGGATTTTAACCCAGGCAGCCTGAATCCAAAGCTGATTCACAAAAACAATATGCTACATTGCTTTTCATAAGAAAGCTGAAGAAGCCTGTATGATTTCTACATTTTCAGACAATCTTGTCCCTGATTTCTAACCAGAAGTGGCCATAGCCATAAAGTTATTGTTAAGACAGCCAACAACCTCTTTCTGCAAAGGGAAGGAGATTGAACCTTTTTAGAGGTCCAATCTTCACAGGCCTGCAAATATGTAACAGTTAGTAATCTATACAGAATTTAAGCTCAGGGTGGTTATAATAACAGGGATGGGAAAAATACTGATTCATTCATTGAACAAATATTTATGGAACACTTTTCATAATAGACAGTGTTGTAAGTACTTCAGAATTTCAGTGAACAAAACAGACAAAACCTTTTCTCAAAGACCTCATATTCCTGGGGACAGTGGGAGTAATCTCTTTCCTGAGGAAGATGTAAATTATATAAATAATAAAGAAGAGATTAAAAAGGTAGGAAACATTCATTTAGGCAAGTGATTATCAACATTTCCAGCAAGGGGTCAGAAGCTCTTTTGGTCCTGATAGCTCTATTCTCTAGCCAATTATGTGTTTAACTATACCTTGCATATAAATGTTGCAAATAAGAATTTGTATCTTGGAATTGTAAGAAGTAATTCTTCAAAATAGCAAAACATTAAAATACCTCAAATGAAGTATGAATAATGACTTGCATATTTTAAAGAAAATATAGGCAAATGACATCTGGGTGTTTTAACTGATTACAAACTTAAAAGACAACGTCAGCCAATATAGAGATTCAGCTCAGTTGCAAACCCTGGAACTTAATCTATATTGAAGCTAAATATTCTATAAGCATGCAGTGAAGTGCAAAAAATAGCAATTGAAAAATGACATGATTAAATGGCACAACATGCAATCATTTGCTCTCAATTATATCAATGTATCTTCTTCATTTCTAGGAGTCAGGCAGAAATATTGTTTTTTAAAAGCCTCTATTAAATTGGTCACCAATAATAAAATAGATGAGAGTCCTAATAAGCTCATTTACATAACATACATCATATACTACAAAACTATTCTCTCCAAATAGTTTTGCTCATAGATTTGTCTCCTGGTTGTCATGAGTCTTTGCCACATTAGCAGATTTTAAAAGCATAACACTGTCTTCAGGACCATTTGTAGAAAAACGTTTATGAAACTTTTCTAGTTAACCCTTGGCAGGATCCTTATTGCTAATTATGGAAAAGGTATTGATATAATATCTTGGCTGTCACATTTTATTATGGTGATGGTAGAAGCAGAATCTAAGTTTGACATTTTGGAAATATCATCTAATTGCAAGTCAGAAACAGAGAATGACAGTTTTAAGTAGATTATGACTTCTTTCAAAACAGCAAACTGGTTTATTCAATGTAAAAGCTAGATTTTAAAAATAGCATTAAAGCTTCCTGAGTTGGTTCACCAAGCATATTTCTATTGGCTCTTGAAGAGGAGTTGGGTAGTGTGCCAAAATAGTTTCGACATTGTACATGATATTATAAGTCTAGATTCAAACACTAAATTATTTCTTATAACCATTTAAAATAAAAATATTTTCAGTAAGTCTTTTCATTTTTAAGAAAAATTACCTCCCCTCTGTTTGTTTACCCAGTCCACAAATAAGTGAGGTCTAAAGTTACCGCAATCACCTTTACCTCCATGGCCTTATTGAACTGACCTTTTGACCTAAAGATCTTAATTTTTCTTGCCATCTGGTATACTCACCAATCAAGTTGAATCATTAAGGGCAACCAGGATTATTAATTAATACTGTAAATTCTTGAAGATCCTTGGATGAATAGATACATCAAGGGAAAAGAATCATTCTTTTACAAACATTCACAATTTTGTTTTAATAGTTTGTATTTTTTTCTGTTGGAAAAAATATGTATTAATTTTACTTGGAAAGGGGCATTTCTATTCCTCTTGGCTTTTGTGTAGCTGAGGGCCAAAATATAATAACCATTCTAAAAATGTAGACCCTCAGTGAGTTATCCCACGAAAGCTGCGGTTATCTCTGTGTGGCATTCTTTAATTTCTTTGTTACTTTCCCTAAACTAAGTTACATACTTTTAAATATGTTTGTTTTTAAGAGTCAAGCTCAGTGGCCAGTCAAGCTCAGTGTTTAGTTCATATTCACATGTAATTAATAATATGTTATATCGTTCCTTTTCTAAATTAAAAACACTATTAAAATTCCAGACATATAAAACAATATGAAGATTAAGTTACTCTAAAGAAAACTGTAATAGCTTACAGATTGCTTGTATCATTACTAAAATGCTGGTATCTATTACAGAGTCTCCCTGGAATAAAGTATGCAATTTTAGCAATAATCTGTTAAAAACATGTCCATTATTGTTAAAATGCTCAAATAGATTGCAATTATAGGAAGGTAACTTTTAGTAGTAGGGGGAAAAAGGTGCTGGATATAAACACGACTTAGCCATTATACTACAAAATACTTTTCCTTAAAACCCCACAATCACACTTTTCCTAAGCAGATAAGCATTAATTGCCATTTATTTTTATATTATTATATTTTGAAATCTATTTACAACACCCACTGTGCTTTTTATCTTTTATTGATTCTGTGGGAATTAGTTCAAAGTAATTCTGGGGAATGGATGAAGGCATTTTCCTTCTCTAGATTATTTGTTGATCCTAGCTACCTGAAATCATCTTTGCTTTTAATAGATCTTGGGTATTCACTGGTCAGGTCAAAGGATATGCAGGACAGTCTTGAAGAAAGGAAGGAAATGATTCAGTATGAGAGGGTACGGTGCCATACACCCCGTCAGTAAACTCTCTGAAAAAAGAATCATAATAAAAGGCCACAAAAGGGTATGAAATAACATTAAGAAAGAAAGCAAGAGAACACAGGAGCTAGGATGATGACCCAAGAGGAATTCCTAGGGATAATGTAGAACACACAGGCGACCTGACTCATGGGAGAGGACAGATTATTTACTAATTAGTTTCATGACTTGCTCAACCCTGCTGCATGGTATTTTTCTTGCTCTCTCATCCATACGTAGTTGGCTATTCTCCACCCTTCTCCTCTAGCAAGCCTTATTTTTCCAGACTTATTTTTAGCTAATATATTCTTAATTTTCTAACAAGCCACTCCTAGAACTCGTCACAAAGTTCAGACTGTTACTTGAAGTATAAACGCTAGGAAAAGGTATTTTAGGAAAGTTTTCCTATTATTCCAGAATGCTACAGAAGGGAAATAAATGGATTCAAGAACTCTAGGGACATAACAAGAATGCAGGAAGAGAGTCAAGCATGGGGAAATAACACCTCTAAAAAGAAGGAAAATGATACTAGAGAGAAAAAGTCAACATTAGAAAAGACATACTGTTTATTCATTTACTCCTCTGTGACTCGGAAGAGGCAAAGGTAGAGATGGCTTTATAAACTTCATATTTCTGTTTTTATTTTCATAGCGTCTAAAATAAATAGTACATTTTCCTATGAGTTCGGACCACTGGGTATTTGCTTCTTAGCTCTTTCCTTTCCGTTTGTGGTGGAAGCTCAAGGCAACTTGATTCCTTTTCACCAGTTTTCAGTATTCCCAGATGTGTGGTAATACTCTCAGGGTCATTTAGAAGTTTAACCAATACATAACAGCAAAATACTCTTCAAATATGATATTAGGTAGTAGAGAGATATTGACTAAATATTAGTCAACTGGTAAATTGTTATAATGATTATTTAGCTTCAAGCAGTATTTCAACCCTGTGAAAAGGAAATATAATAACTTCATTCATCAAACACTCTTATAGCTAAAACAAAGTGAAGATCTAGGAGAATTTTTCAAGACCATTTTCTTGAATAAAGCTAATTTTCCTTTAGAGGAATAAATTTTATTTTCTTCTGGGAAAAGACACCACACCTCTCTCCTGCCTGCTCTCTCAAAGAAGATTGAATACACGGGAGGGTAGTACTTTCATTTATGCCATCTAACATTTTGGCAGCAAGACAGAACACAAGTCACTAATCATAAAGGTGTTTTATTTGAATATCTGAGAAGCAATGTGGATTGAAAAACAAACCACAACTTAAGAGTTTTCTCCTAGTTTGATAATAACTACTTGTGCAATCTCAGGTAAAACATGTAACTTCTATGTGCCCTCCATACTCTTTCTCTAAAATGCATTGATCCTTTAGGCTCTAACATCTTCTGGGATCAAATATTATATAACCTTATTCTGAGACAGGATAAATGTCCTCTGGTGATCTAAGATGGACTTTTAAAAAATAATTATAAAATACAATTTTGAATATCTCTCACATAAGATATAAGTTGGTTCTCATCTTCTCTGATTAACTTCTAGGGGTGTCAGAATATTAATTTCAATATGCCTTTATTGCTGGCTTTAACTGGATAAGTGTGTTGTTGCAATAATTTGCATGAAACAACCTTGTTTGGTCTCAGATTCCGTTCATGTCTTGGTCGTGTTCTAACACCTTCAAAGTCTAACTCCAAATAACATTATAGTGAGAACCACATGCGTAAGCAAAGCAAACAAGATTGAAAATGTAACTTCCATTGTTGCTTTGATAAAGTTTTGAAATTTGTTGCACCAGTATTTTATTAAGAGTTAGAATGGCATGTGACATAGTTTGGACAGCTGTCCCTGCCCAAATCTCATGTTGAAGTGTAATCCCCTATGCTGGAGGTGGGGCCTGGTGGGAGGTGTTTGGGTCATGGGGGAAGATCCCTCACGATTTGGTGCTGTCTTCATGACAGTGAATTATTGCAAGATATGGTCATTTAAAAGTGTGTGGCACCTCCCCATCCCCCTTGCTTGCTCTTGCTTTTGCCTTGTGTTGTGCCTGCTCCCCCTTTGCCTTCCACTATGATTGTAACTTCCTGAGTCCTCCCTAGAAGCTGAGCAGATGACAGCACCATGCTTCCTGTGAAGCCTGCAGAACTGTGAGCCAATTAAACCTCTTTTTTCTTTTTATAAATTACCCAGTCTCAGGTATCTCTTTATAGCAATGCAAGAATGGCTTCATACAGCATGACTAAACAGACACTCATTGGCTCTTTTGCTGGTGGTCTTGGCTTGGATAAGGAGTAAATGGGTCTTGAAACATCCTTCCATTTCCTAAAAGTCATTTCTCCCAATCATGACTAAAGAAAAATAAAGAAGGATATTTTGAGAAAAGGCAGAGGGCACGAGGAAAAAGGCAGAGGGCATGATGGAAAAGAGGAACCTAGGTTACTGCCTAGTCTATGCTTCTCAAAAGAACATTCAACATCAAACCTTTCAATCTATTATTACACTTATCCTAATAATATTAATTTCAAAAAAGAAAGAAAAATATCCTTGAGAAAAAAGAATGTGATATTCTAAATGTAGAGGGTATAACTTGGGATTTAATCAGCCATTTAGAGCACCAGTAAAATTAAAAGAGATAAGTTAGGCCATTTTTTTTCCCAGATGGGAATAATGATTTATGTCTCCGCCCTCTCTGAGAGGTTTTGGGAGGATTAATGAGCTAATGTCTGTAAAGCTCTTTAAGCTCCTTGTATGGAGGTGCAACATAAACACAAGGTGAAAAATGTTAGCAAACTCTATGCTGAGTTGAGCTCCCAAAAGTAAAGCCCCTGGGAACGAGAAACTGTTGCAAGTTGAGATGGTAAATCTCTGAGTTCCAATGCCAGAGGAGCCTTGGTCTGTTGTCATATGTGTTTTTAATTCTGTTTAAAATAGTACTTAGTAGTATTAATAAGCATTTCTATATTTCCTATTAATCATAGTAGCCCCTGTGATCATCATTTTTTGTTTGTTTGTTTTTTTGAGATGGAGTTTCACTCTTGTTGCCCAGGGTGGAGTGCAATGGTGCGATCTCGGCTCATGGCATCCTTCTCCTCCTGGGTTCAAGCGATTCTCCTGCCTCAGCCTCCCAAGCAGCTGGGATTACAGGCATGTGCCACCACGCCTGGATAATTTTGTATTTTTAGTAGAGATGGGGTTTCTCCATGTTGGTCAGGCTGATCTCAAACTCCTGACCTCAGGTGATCTGCCCGCCTCGGCCTCCCAAAGTGCTGGGATTACAGGCGTGAGCCATTGCACCCAGCCTCATTTTTTTTGTTTCTATGCATCAAATGATACAGGTTTATTACCTATATTTTACAGAGTAAAAATTGGGATGTGAAAGTTACAAAGCCATCAAGGATAACCCACAAGAAACCAATGGTTCAACGTTACTGGACTATGGCCTGGATTGGTATTCTGATGTAGGCTGCCAGCTGGCTCTGACTGTGTGATCCTGGGTGAGTCATTTAATTTATCAGAGATTTGGTTTTCTTCTCTTCGGAATAAGGAGGCTAAGTTAGCTAGATGAGCTCAGGTATCAATTGGTGAGGATATTCTACCATCTTCTAAGCACTTCTTGAGTATCTAGTGACTCCAAGGCATTGTCTATAATACTATAAAGGGCATGCAAAACAAATAAAACTTCAAGATACTTTCTAAAAGTTTATACTTTAGTCTGTTGACAAGATACACAGACTCATAAGTACACATATTTGAATAATATTCAAATAAGCACACAAAACAACACAGGAATTTCTTCCATCGCTTATCTCCAGGCCTCCACACATGCATATATTGTTCTGTTTCGTCCCCTCCACTTCAGATCTCATTTTATAGTCACTTATTCCAGGAATTTCCTCACTTCTCTTCACGAGAAAACACCCAAGCCCTCCCAGGAATGTCTTGTGCACTTCCATAGCACACTATGTTAACTCCCATCCAACCACATCCACATCCTACTCAACTTGCATGTTTCACTGTCTGTATCTCCGTTTAGCCTGTGTGTTCCTTGGAAGAGGACTATATATGGCTCACCACAGTATCCACCATGCCCAGCACTTGACACAGATGTTTGCTGAAGAGAAGGGTGTTGAATAAATTAAAAATATCTCTACTTATACTCCCCAAATCATCTTGAACTAGTTCTCATTTCTAACTACCAGAACCTCTCCATTCTTACATACATTCTATTACTTACAATGCCTTTCATTAAACATTCCCTTCCTTATTTAAAGGGGAGCCTGGGCTGATCCAACAGTTAGCATTCCAGGGACAGATGGACTTTTCATGGGAGTGAGGCGTTCTCAGAAGACCTCCTCCCTCTTCCCCACCCCTACCAACAAACCAGTTCAGAAATCCTATCATCTCTAACCTAGCCTCCTAGGAGGATGTCAGCAAGATGGCAAAATAGGACTTTCCAGTGCTCATCCCCTAAACAGACACATCAATTTGAACAACTATTCATACACAAACATACCTTCACAAGAGCTAAGGAAACCAGATGAGAGATTACAGCACTTGGGGGTAGCACAGAGACAAGAAAAGATGTATTGAAAAGGCTAGGAAGGAAACTTTTACATTATAGCTGTCTCTCCTTCCCCAAGCCTCGGCAGCACAACATGGAAAGACACCCACCATTTGAGGCAAGGAGAATGAATTGAGTACCTGACTTTATCTGGGACTCTAGCACCAGGCTAGCCCCTACAACCCCAGGCACCACTCTGGCCTTTGCAGCCCCAGACTACAGCTTGGCACTCATGGACCCAGTCTCCAAGCCTCCCCCACTGTCAGGCTGGCACATGCACACCCCAGCTCCAGGTCAGCACGTGCAACTTCAGACACCAGGATGGCACCCGTGATTCTAGGCAGGAGGCTGCTATCCACTGTCCCAGTCTCCAGGCCAGCCCCTGCAGCATCACACTGCAATGGACTCACAGTCAAAACCCATCCCAGGAGACCCTAGCACCAGGACAGCTACTGGGGAACCAGCCTTGGAGGCCTATTCCAGCATCAGGCTGGCCCCTGTGGCCTTAGGCTCTAAGCTAGCTCCTGCAGAGATAGCCTCCAGGCCATTATGCACAAACCCAGCCTCCACGCCCTACCCTGCAGAGCAAGGCTTCAGGTCAGCATCCATAGCCCCAGGTACCAGGCTAGAACCCATGGGCTGAAGCCAATGATAGAGGTTCCAGACCAACGCCTCATGGACCCAGGCTCCAGGCCAGTCACTGTTGCCTTAGGCTCCAGTGTGCCCTAATATACTCCAGCACTGGGCTGATACCCACACACTCAGGCTCCAGGATTACCCCTGTGAGCCCAGGATCCAGGCTCACCCTAGTACAGCTCCAGAAGCCAGGTCCACCTCCATGACTCAGACTCCAGGCCTATCCCCAAAGACCCAAGCACTGGCCTATCCCAGTGTTAGGCCAGCCCCCACAGACTCAGGCTCAAGGCCCACAGAGTACCAGGTTGACACTAGAGAACCCTGGCTGCACCCAGCCACCACAGACACAAGCTTCAGGCCTGTCCTGGTAGATTCTAGCTCCAGGCTCATCCCAGTGGACCTAGCTCCAGGCATGATCCTATAGACCCAGGCTCAAGGCAAGTCCCTATGAATCCAGGTGCCAAGCCCACCCACCTGCTGACCCAGGTAGCAGGCCAGCCTGGCCATGGACCCTACCAGATGTCACACTCAGAATCTCTAGACCAATTGACTGGTGAAGAGTTTTCCCTGATGAAGTGAGTCTGTAAAGACTGGAATAGGTGGCTACTTCTTGAAATGTGCAGGCACAAATGCCTAGCCCCAAGGATCACAAATAATCAGAGAAACATGACAGTACCAAACAAACAAAATAAACCATGAGTTAGTGGCCCTAAATGTCTTCTTGGCAAATAATTAAAAATAATTGTCTTGGCTGGGCTCATGCCTGTAATCCCAGCACTTTGGGAGAATCACTCGAGCCCAGGAGTTTGAGACCAGCTGGGCAACATGGTGAAACCTTGTCTGTACAAAAAATTCAAAAAGTTGCTGGGTGTGGTGGTATTCACCTGTAGTGTCAGCTACTCAGGAGGCTAAGGTGGAGGGAACCCTTGAGCCCAAGAGGTTGAAGCTGCAGTGACCCAAGATCATGCTGCTACACTACAGCCTGGGAGAGAGAGTGAGATCCTGTCTCAAAAATTAATAATAATAATAATAATAATAATAATTGCCTTAATCTCAGTGGGCTACAAGAGAACACAAATAAACAACTAAACAAAACAAACAACTAACAAAACTAACAAACAACAATAAAATTAAACAACTAAACAAAATCTGGTAAGCAATACACAAACAAAACTACAGTTCAACAAAAAGAAACAATAAAAATGAACCAAAGAGAAATTTTGGAGCTAAATAACATAATGACTGAACCAAAAAATTCCATAAAGAGCTTCAACAGCAGACTCAAGAAGAAGAAAAAAAACCACAGAGCTTGAAAACATTGTTTGAGATTACCTAGTAAGTAGAACAAAAAGAAAAAAATAATGAAAATGAGTGAAGAAAGCCAACAGTACTTATTGAGCCACACCAAGTGAACCAATGCATGCATATGAAAGTCTCAGAATAAGCAAAGCCAGAGAAGGGGGCAAAAAGCTTATTTAAAGAAACAGTGAGAGAAAATTTCCAAAATCTGAAGAGGGACATGAACATTCAGATCTAAGAATCTCAAAGAACCCCAAATCAATTAAATACAGATATCTTCACCAGGACAAATTATAATCAAATTCTCAAAAGTCAAAGACAAAGAGAGAATATTGAAAGCAGCATGAGAAAAGCAACTCATTATTTACAAGGGTAGCTTTAACACTATCAGCAGATTTTTCAGCAGAAACTTTGCGGGGCAGGAAAGAGTGGGAAGATATATTCAAAGTGCTAAAGGAAAAGAAAGTATTCTTGGCAACCAAGAATACCATATTTGGCAATGATGTCCTTCAGAAATAAAGGAGAGATAAGGATTTTCCTAGAGAAATAAAAGTTGTGGAAGTTCATCACCACTAAACCTGCCTTACAAGAAATGCTAAAGGAAGTTCAAGTTGAAACAAAAGGATGCTAAAAACATGAAAACACATGAAAGTATAAAACTTAGTGTAAATGTAAAGATAAAGTCAAATTCAGAATATTCCAATAAAGTGGTGGTGCATAAATCACTTGTAACTCTAGTATAAAAGGTAAAAGACAAAAGTAATAAAATAATTATAGCTAAAATAGTTTGGTAATGAATACATTTTACATTACATATGTAAGATATGTGAATTGTGACATCAGCAAAATGGGGGAGGAGGAGAAGTTAAAATGTAGTTTTTGTATGTGGTCACAGTTAAGCTGTTAACATCAGTTGCATACTCCATGCAAATGGTAACCAAAAGAGAGCAGGGTGGCTATACTTTTATCAGACAAAAACTTTCACAAGAGACAAAGATGGTCATTTTATAATGATAAAGGCGTAAATTCATCTAAAGGATATAACAATTATAAATATATATGCACCCAACACCAGAGCACCTTTATATCTAAAGCAAATATTGACAGAAACGAAGAGAGAAATAGCAATACAATTATAGTAGGAGCCTTCAATACCCTGCTTTCAATAATGGACAGATCAAAATTCCAATGACTTTTTCTATAGAAATAGAAAAAATAATTATAAAATTTATGTAGAACTACAAAAGACCCTATAGAGCCAAAATAATATTAAGCAAAAAGTAAAAAGCTGGAGAGATCACACTTCCTGATATCAAAATATACCACAAAGCTATAGTAATCAAAACAGCATGGTACTCACATTAAAAACAAACACATGTAGTCCAACTGAACAGAAGAGAGAGCCCCAAAATAAATCCACACATTCATGATCAATTTATTTTCAACAAAGGTAGCAAGAACACGCCATGGGAAAATAACAATCTCTTGAATAAATTGTTGGGAAAATTGAATATCCACATGCAGAAGAATGAAACTGGACCTTTATCTCACACCATATACAAGAATCAACTCAAAATGGATTAAAGACTTAAAAGTAAAACATAAAACCAAAATTGCTATAAACTTTCCCCCTAGAAAACATAGGGGAAAAGTTTCTTGACATTGGTCTGAACGAGTTTTGGGATATGACCTCGAAAACACAAGAAACAAAAACAGATTGATAGAATTACATCAAACTAAAAAGCTCTGCACAGAAAGGAAACAATCAACAGAGTGAAAAGACAACCTACTGAATGGAAGAAAATATTTACAAACCATACATCTGATAAGGGGTTAATATCCCAAATAGACAAGGAACTTAACCAAACAGCAAGAAAACAAATAATCCAAATAGGCAAAGTCCCTGAACAGATATTTCTCAACAGAAGACAGGTTTATGAAAAAATGCTCAACATCACTAATCATCAGAGAAATACAAATTAAAGCAATAAGGAGATATCACCTCACACCTGTTAGAATGGCTATTATCAAAAAGAGAAAAGATAGCAAGTGTTAGCAAGGATATGGAGAAAAGGGAACCCTTGTACACTGTTGTTGGGAATGTAAATTAATATAAATATGGAAAACAATATGAAGTTTCCTAAAAAAATTAAAAGCAGAACTACCACATGATCCAGCAATACCACTTCTGGATATATATCCTAAGGAAGTAAAATCAGTATGTCAAAAAGATGTCTGCACTACCATTTTCATTGCATTATTCATAATAATCAAGATATGGAAAAAACCAAACTGATCAATGGATATAGAAAATGTGGGATAAACACATTCATACACATACACACACTTACACACACACACATAATGAAATGCTATTCAGTCTTAAAAAAGAAAGAAATCCTGTCATTTGTGACAACATGGATGAACCTGGAAGACATTATATTAAGTGAAATAAGCCAGGCACAGAAAGACAAATACTGCGTGATCTCATTTATATGTAAAATTTTAATAAATTGAACTCAGAGAAGAGATTAGAATGGCAGTTGCCAGAGACTGGGCTAGGGGATGGGGGTGACAGGGGTGAAGAGATTTTAGTCAAAGGGTGACAAAGTTTCAGTTAGAAAGCAAGAAAAATGACAAGTATATGAGGTGATGGATATGCTAATTAGCTTGATTTAATCATGTCACGACATATACATATATCAAAACATCACAATGTACACTGTAAATATGTTCAATTCTTATTTGTCTGTTATACCTTAATAAAGCTGGGAGGTGGGGGGTGGAAATCCAATCTCTTCCCTCTCACTGTAATTGTCCCATATCAAACCCTCAGGGCATATCACCTAAGTTACAGAATAGCAACCTCCTAATAGGACTTTCTCCTTCCAGGTTGGTTGAAACATGCTCTGCAAGACCACCCTCCTGCTCTGGAACACTGAGGACATCCCTGGTAAATTAACAAAGAGTAGGCTACTTACTTTGCTTGCAGCCCCACTTGACATCAGACAGTTTACCCTATGCTTCAATATCAATAAACAATTTGCTATTCCGCACATATGGTGTTTCTCATCCCTGAATTTTAATAAAATTGAAGAAAATCTACAATTTCCCTTTGGTTTTTGTCTCAGACTGAAATATCTGTACAGGGAGCCATTTATATAATATTTCAAAGAGGATCTATCTCAACACCCAGTGTTAGAAAACAAAAACTCCTTAAAAAGGGACAGAAAAATCAACACACATCAACAGACACTGTAGTTCAAATGAGGGCCCAATTTGAAGACTCAGAACAATACTGAAATAAGTTAATACCAAAAAAGAGAAAACAATTCATGTCTTGAAAATATGCACAAGGATATTGCATTCATGGCACTGAGATAAGTTGGTACTTTTGAAGACAGAACAATTTAAGATCAGTAAAGATTGTATAAAAATGAAAAGAACTTCTGTTGAATTAAAAATTGCAATGAAAACAATGAATTACAAAATTAGGTTCTGCAGAAACAGAAAACAAGCTTGAGAATTCTACCAGAAGTCCCTAGATGAAGAAACAAAAATAAAAATAGATTTTTTTTTAAGTGAAGGCAAGATCTGGGAGATTCAATATGCGCAGAGCAGGACTTCCAAAAAGACGAAACTAAACATATAGAGAAATTACGATAATCAAACAGCGGGTAAAACTTTCCTGATCTAAAGCAGGATTTTCAAAATCATTTAGGACTCACCAAGTTCCCAGCAAAAAAAAAAAAAAAAAGTGAAAAGAGACAGATACCTAGTCCTACATAAATGAAACTAAAACAAAAGCTACAACTCACACATAAAAGAGAAGCATATCTTCTCTTTAATGACTATAAATTCCAAAAGAATCATTAGCAATTTTGATGACAAAAGATTATGCTGCCCTTAGAAAAATTTTATATTCAGCCAAGCTATTGTTTATATGTGAGGTAAAAGTAAAATACATTTTCTGACACACAAGGGTTTGGAAAAAATACTAGGAATGGACTTTTCCTGTGAAAATTATTAGAAGATGATCCAATAGCCAGTACTAAAAATACATTTTTAGTGGAAAGTTGTGATATGAAAAAAACTGAAGTTCAGCAATGAAAATAATATAATTAATTCTGAATTACTTTTATTTTTATTCATTAAAAAAAATTATTTAGCAACCCAGTCCCACTATCTTGCCCAGGCTAGAGTGCAGTATAAAGAATGAACAGGCTGGGTGCGGTGGCTCACGCCTGTAATCCCAGCACTTTGAGAGGCCAAGGGGGTGGATCACGAGGTCAGGAGATGGAGACCATCCTGGCTAACATGGTGAAACCCCATCTCTACTAAAAATACAAAAAAATTAGCCGGGCATGGTGGCAGGCGCCTGTAGTCCCAGCTACTCGGGAGGCTGAGGCAGGAGAATGGGGTG
The DNA here is from genome assembly GCF_000001405.40 of Homo sapiens. Classification (NCBI taxonomy): domain Eukaryota; kingdom Metazoa; phylum Chordata; class Mammalia; order Primates; family Hominidae; genus Homo; species Homo sapiens. The sequence goes on along the minus strand of NC_000014.9, from coordinate 32,750,832 downwards.
AACCCGGGCTTGCAGTGAGCCGAGATCACACCACTGCACTCCAGCGTGGGTGACAGAGTGAGACTCCATCTGAAAAAAAAACAAAAAAAAAAAAACAAAATTAATTTAGTGACCCAGTCCTGCTCTCTTGTCCAGGCTACAGTGCACAATTGTAGCTCACTGTACCCTTGAACCCCTGGGGTGAAGCAATCTTCTCACTTCAGCCTCCTAAGTATCTAAGACTACAGGCACCCACCACCACACTTAGATAATTGAGCACAATCTTTTTTTTTTTGTAGAGATGGGGTCTTACTATGTTGCCCAGGCTGGTCTCAAACTCCTGACGTCAAGTGATCCTACTGCTTTGGTCTCCGAAAGTGCTATGATTACAAGAATGAGCCTCCAAGCTAGACCTGAATTACTTTCAATATAATGCAAATGTCAAAAGAAATACTTGAAGGTGTGAAAAAGGACATAATTATATTAGTAAAATAATCATAAAACCTAAAAATTAAATCTAAGATTATATAATATCAACAAAAATAGGGAAATAGGCTGGAGGACACAGGAAAAAAAAGCTCATTTTTAAATTGTAAAAGTGGCATCTGATTCAATCTTGGCACTGTAAATAAAGAAAATACGTAATTAAAAAAAATCCTTCCAATTCACTGCAGTGGAAACAAAGAAAATAACATTCCATGTAGCAAAATATTTAAACTAGCCCATAATATAAGCTTTGTGGTATTGCTAAAACTCAGCCCAGTGCCTAAATGAAAGAATGTCATAAGATGAAAAAAGATCAGTAATCTTAATCAAGGAAATAAATATGAATGGGCTTAATATTCTTATTAGAAGATAGAAACTGTCAGATTTGGGTAGAATGCAATTTGTAAGAAACTTGCCTAAAATAATACAATGTGGAAAACTGATACCAAAAGGACAGGCAAGGATATACTATAAGCCTCTACATATATTGTGAAGGACTTCAAGTTACCTAAGAGATGAGAAAGGAAGAGGCTAGGCCTATGATTGTAGGGTTTCTGGTTAGTCCTTCCAGATTCAAATCCTCCATCTCTTCAACTTGGTCATTAATTTTAACTGAGAATTGTATGTCTTACATATCTTATAGATCTGTACATTTGTTTGCCATCACCGCACTAGCAGTTTATTAGTGTATTTCTTTTCACTTTAAAAACGACTCAATCAAACAAGTCTCTGTTAATTTATAAGCCAGTAAAAATATATTCACGTTATCAGTATGGCTATCCAGGCTGAAATTCATAAATGGGAAGACTTTTTACTTCCCTCTTTGGGCCAGTGTCTGTGCTGAATATTACAATGCTAGAAAGGAAATGGGTACAAAGAGAAAGACTGCTACCGTGTGCTAAAGGCAAGAACACTGCAATTTTAGTTCAAAAGATGCTTCTTTCCTTTTGCAGTATCATTTTCGATGAGGGAAACATAAATCCTGGTATACAGAATTGGCTATTGGCTGATCTACTTAAAATTTTGTGCCAAGCTGAAAGTGCTGTTTAAAGAAATTAAATGACATCTATAATTGAAAAATTTACCAATGGAAAAAGGTAGCTCTTACAGAATCACAAGAAGGCTAGCGTTGAAAGGAATCTTCTCAATCAAAAAAACCTAAATTTATAAATAGTCTCAGGCAAAGAAAACTTACTTCCTGAGATTACACAGCTGAAAGTCCTAGGTCATAGGGTTGCCAACTAACAGAAACTAGTGATGATACTCAATAAATACTATTAATTGGCCAATTATAAAAGAATCATGTTGTAGTAAAAGTTACAGAAGATGAATGGCAATTCAATATGGTCATTAAAATATAAATTTTGTTTCTCTCCTTAAATGAAGGTCTAATTGTGTGTGTATATGTGTGTGTGTGTACACTTGTGTGTGCACTCATAATGCAATAATTTTGGAGAAACAAGAGGTAAAAAGAGGGTTTACAAAAGAAGGTCATGGAGACAGAAGTTGGAGTAGAAAATGGACTCGAAGTAAATGGTGTGCCGCCTTGCTCAAAAGAGGAAAAGTAGCCTGAAAGTGAAGACCCACCCTTAATAATCTGGGACTTGGTTTTTACCACCCCAAAAGAGCTCTTCCTTCCCAGGTCAAAGGGCAAACTTGGGAGGTATACTGACTATCTCCTTTTTTCCTAGTCTTGGGAGGGAAAAAAGTTCTCTTATGGTTTTATCTAGGTAGTAAGCAGGTCAATGATCCAATTAATAGATAATTCAGTTCCTAGAGATCATACAACTCACCAAAGTAGGTGAAACCCCAAGGAATTTGCTTTATCTATTTACTATAACCCTGCTTTATTAAATGTTAATGCTTTTTTGAAAGTACAGTTTCATGCTTTAGAATTCTAATGCTGACTGCTAAAATATATTGAGCTCTTAGTAGGCAGGCCCTATTTTAAGCAGTCTTCATTTATATATTGTCTCATTTAACACTCACAACCACTTCTTAAGGTAAGTAATATCATTATCCCTGTTTGTAAGATAAGAAACCTGGAGCTTTCAGGAAGATGATCTGTCAGAAAGAGGTAGAGCTAGGACAAACCCAAGCAACTTGAATCCACACTTAAGCCTCTAAACTATGATGGATCAGATTCACTGTTCCCATCCTATACTTACTTGAGTGGAGAGCACTGAGATACCTTTGCAATTATGTTCTTCCAGTTTTTTCCTTATTTGAATGTACTAACAAAGAAAGTTACATTTAAGTAATTTAAGAGATCAGTTAAGAGTAGAAACATTCATTCTCTGGTTTCAGAGGCCAAATGCTGTTCTGTCTGATTTTCAAGACAATAAGTAAAGATGGGTGAGATCTCTCTTTCCTCTTTCTAGATTAGCATGACAGCCCTTGACTTCCATGAATCTGGTCTGTCTGACAGCAGCAGTGCAAACACCACATATAAAATGAGTACACAGCTGTATCTCTGCCTTCTCAAATCAAGGGCAGAACTCTCTACTTCATAGGAATCATTCAGCATCTTCTTCTAGCAAAATATGTAATCAGAAAGAATTGGGCTGCTATTCCATTTTCTTTTACTCTAGAAAACTGCACTGGGACTGCCTGTAAAAATGTTCTGTGGGTTTTCCCACCACCCTCAGACAGTAGTGTGAATAATATTTATTTATATTAAATCTACCTTTGAATTTCAACCTTAACCCAGCCAATTTTTCTTATAAGGCAGTCCTGAACTGTATCCAATTATTTAAAATTATTTCCAAAGAAGTGTTAGGTGACGGGTTTTTAATATGTGGTGGGGAAAAAACCTAATAAAAGACTGTTGATGAATATACGTGGTTTTCTTTTGATGGATATACGTGGTTAATATAATAGTTTTTTTAAATGTATCTATGATATGTAGAAAGGATTAAGTCCTGTTTGATGTCTATTGAATTTGAAAGTGTTTTGTATGCTTTTGTTATGGTTAGACTGAGTTACTGTAATTCTTTATTTGCAACTTTGCCAACAGCAACATTACTAAGTTTGTAATGGCTCCAAGTTAGAGCAGCAGGGATGATCCAGGCACCTGTAGGAATCATGGCTACTTTTCTTATACATCAAAACTGCTAAAACATTGTATCCTGTCTTTCAAACTCATCTCCTTTAAATGTGGTTTTGGGGTCAGAGGAAGTGAGATTACTTATGATACCATTTGAAATTGGTTATAGTGGACATGAGAAATTCCCCCTAAAAGACTTGATGAAATTGGTCTTATTTTTATTTCTGAAAATTATGCACTGAGGTTTTAGGAAACATTTCTTAAAGCATATGAACTGCTTAGCTCTTTTCTTCCTTTATTCTGTAAAAGTAAATCAGTGATACTCCTTTTCAGAGTAATTACTTGTCAATGGTGCACATTTTATTGTTAATTTGAAATCCTTTTAAAGGCCCTGTTCTATAAATTTTAATTTCCAAGACTTAAAATGTTGACTCCCTGACTTCCTCCAGCCGGCTGTCAAGTATTCAGAATGGAATAAGGAACAAAAGAGCAAACTATGTGCTTTTCTCTTTCAAGTAACAGATCTTTGACCTAGGGACTTTTGAGTCTACATAGGGGCAGATTCTGAAACGGTTTCTAGGTGTGACTATTGGCTCTATCACTTACTAACTTTATGACCTTGAGTAAGTTACTTCAATTTTCCCCACCTCAGTGTTCTCATCCATAATAGCGGATGGGGCAGAGCAAGATACCAGAATAGAAGGCTCCCTAATCATTCCCCTTGTACCTCTTGACAAGTACACCAATTTAATGATGATCCACTCTGACTGTCTTGCATCTCAGATACCAGCTCAACCACAGCAGGATAGGGCAGCAGTCAAAATTTTAAGGCCCCCGTTCCAGGACCTAGCTCCCAGATGACATCTCTAGACATGATCCTAGGCCAGAAGGAAACCCACTACCTTGAAAGGAAGGTCCAAGTCCTGGCAGCATTAATCACCTGCTAACTGTAGACCCTTTGAACCCTGAAAAACCAGCAGTAATACCCAGGTACTATGTAGAGGGCCTTGGATGAGTCCCTGAGACTTGCGGCTTCAGGTGAGACTTAGCAGATTTCCATGTGTGGTGGCTACAGGGCAAAACTCCTTCTGCTTGAGGAGAGCAGAGGGAAAAGTAAAGAGGACTTGGTCTCGCATCTTAGATATCAGCTTGGCTACAGAGGGGTAGAGTAACAAGTGGGCTCTTGGGGTCCCCAATTCCAGGACTTGACTCTTAGATGGCATTTCTGGACTTGCTCTGGGCCAGAGGGGAGCCCACTTCCCTGAAAGGTGAGTCCCAGGCCAGGCAGCATTCACCATAAGCTGACATAAGAGCCCTTGAATCTTAAGGGAACATCGGTGGTAGTCTGGCAGTACTCTCCATGGTCTGTGCTGGTGGCCATAGGGTGAGGCTCCCCTGGTTTTGGAAAGGGGATGGAAGAGTGGGAAGAACTGCATCTTGTGATTTGAGTGCCAGTGCAGCCACAGTAAAACAGAACACCTGGTAGACTTCTAAGGCTTTCAACTCTAGTCCCTGACTCCTGGAAGGCACCTCTTGGACCCAACAGGGGCCTGGGAGAACTTGCTGCCCTGAAGGGAAGCACACAGGTAGAGCTGGCTTTGCCACCTGCTGCCTGTAGAGCCCCAGGGCCTTGAGTAAACACAGGCAGTAGCCAGGGAGTGTTTGCAGCAGGCCTTGGGCGGGACCCAGTGCTGTGCTGGCTTCAGGTCTGAACCAGCACAGTCATAGTGGTGGTGGCCATAGGGATGCTTGTGTCACTCCACCCCCAGCTTTAGGTGGCTCATAACAGAGAGAGAGACAGACAGAGAGAGAGAGAGAGAGAGACAGAGAGAGAGAGAGAGAGAGAGAGAGAGAGAGAGAATGAATAAATATTTGTTTGGCAGAAAGTAAGGGAAAAAAACAAGAGTCTCTGCCTGGCAATCCAGAAATTATCCTAGACGTTGTCCAAGACCATCAAGCCAGTACCTCTTTGAGTCTGCAAGAACTACAGCATTACTGGGTTTAGGGTGCTCCCTAAAACAGATACAGCATAGATCACAACACCCTAGTCATTTCAAATATCTGGAAAGCCTTCCCAAGAAGAACAGGTACAAACAAGCCCAGACAGTAAAGATTACAATAAATACCTAACTCTTCAATGCCCAGATACCGAAGAACATCTACTAGAATCAACACATTCCAGGAAAACATGACCTCACCAAATGAACTAAATAAGGCACAAGAGACCAGTCCAGGAGAAACAGAGATATGTGACCTTTCAGACAAATAACTCAAAATTGCTGTGTTGCAAAAACTCAAAGAATTCAAGATAACACAGAGAAGGAATTCAGAATTCTACCAGATAAAGATTAAAATAATTAAAAAGAATCATGCAGAAATTCTGGATCTGAAAAAATGCAGTTGGCATACTGAAGAATGCATCAGGCTTTTAACAGCAGAATTTATCAAGCAGAAGAATTAGTGAGCTTGAAGACAGACTATTTGAAAATATACAGTCAGAGGAGACAACAGAAAAAGGAATAAAAACAATGAAGTAGGCCTCCAAGGTCCAGAAAATTGCCTCAAAAGGGCCAATCTAAGAGTTATTGGCCTTAAAGAGGAGGTAGAGAGATAGGAATAGAAAGTTCATTCAAAGGGATAATAAAAACAAAGAACTTCCCAAACCCAAAGAAAAATATCAATAAGTACAAGAATATTATACCAAGGACCGGGTGCAGTGGCTCATGCCTGTAATCCCAGTACTTTGGGGAGGCCAAGGAGGGCAGATCACGAGGTCAGGAGATCGAGACCATCCTGGCTAGTGCAGTGAAACCCTGTCTCTACCAAAGATACAAAGAATTGGCTGGGTGTGGTGGCGGGTGCCTGTAGTCCCAGCTACTCATGAGGCTGAGGCAGGACAATGGTGTGAACCCAGGAGGTGGAGTTTGCAGTGAGCCGAGATTGTGCCACTGCACTCTAGCCTGGGTGACAGAGCGAGACTCCATCTCAAAAATAAAATAAAATAAAATAAAATAATTAAAAAAAAAGAACAGAATATAACACCAAGCAGATTTAACCCAAAGAAGGCTACCTCAAGGCATTTAATAAACTCCCAAAGGTCAAGGATAAAGAAAGGATCCTAAAAGTGGCAAGAGAAAAGAAGCAAATAACATACAATGGAGCTCCAATATGGCAGGCAGCAGACTTTTCAGTGGAAACCTTACAGGCCAGGAGAAAGTGACATGACATATTTAAAGTGTTGAAGGAAAAAAACTTTTTAACCTAGAATAGTATATCTGGCAAAAATATCTTTCAAACATGAGGTAGAAATAGAGACTTTCCCAAACAAACAAAAGCTGAGGGATTTCATCAACACCAGACCTGTCCTACAAGAAATCCTAAGGGGAATACTTCAGTTAGAAAGAAAAGGACGTTAGTGAGCAACAAGTAATCACCTGAAGGTAAAAAACTCACTGGTTTCAGTAATTACACAGAAAAACAGAATATTTTAACAATGCAACTGTGGTATGTAAACTACTCATATCCTAATAGAAAGACTAAATGATGAACCAAAAAAAAATAATAACTACAACAACTTTTCAAGACACAGACAGTACAACAAAATATAAACAGAAACAACAAAAAGCTAAAAAGCAGGAGGAAGAAGTTAAGGTGTAGAGTTTTTATTAGTTTTCTTTTTGCTTGTTTGTTGGTTTATGCAAACAGTATTGTTGTTATCAGCTTAAAATAATGGGTTATAAGATAGTATTTCCAAGCCTCATGGTAACCTCAAACCAAAAAACACACAAATGGATACACAAACAATGAAAAGCAAGAAACTAAATCATATCATCAGAGAAAAACACCTTTACTAAAGGAAGACAGGAAGGAAAGAATGAGAAAGAGAAGACCACAAAACAATGAGGAAACAAATAACAAAATAGCAGGAGTAAGTCCTAACTTATCAATAATAATGCTGAATGTAACGGACTAAATTCTCCAATAAAAAGACACAGAGTGGCTGAAGGGATGAAAAAATAAAACCCATTGATCCGTTGCCTACAAGAAATACACTTTGACTATAAAGATACACATAGACTGAAAGTATAGGGACAGAAAAAGATTCCATGCCAGTGGAAACCAAAAAAGAGGAGGAGTAGCTATGTGTATATCAGACAAAATAGATTTCAAGGCAAAAACTATAAGAAGAGACCAAGAGGGTCACTATATAATGATAAAGGGGTCAATTCAGCAAGATGATACAATTTGAAAGATGTATGCACTCAATACTAGAGTACCCAGATCAATAAAGCAAATATTATTAGAGCTAAAGAGAGACATAGGCCCCAACACAGTAATAGCTGGAGACTTCAACTCACCCACTTTCAGCATCAGACAGATCTTCTAGACATAAAATCAAGAAAAAAACATTGGATTTAGCCTGCACTATAGACCAAATGGATCTAATAGATATTTTCAGAACTTTTCATCCAAGAGCTGCAAAATACACATTTTTTTCCTCAACACATGGATCATTCTCAAGGATAGACCATATGTTAGATCACAAAACGAGTCTTAAAACATTCCAAAAAAAGTAAATAATATCAAGCATCTTCTCTGACCATAATGGAATAAAACTAGAAATCAATAACAAGAAAAATTTTGGAAACTATACAAACACAAGGAAATTAAACAATACACTCCTGAATGACCAATGGGTCAATAAAGAAATTAAGAAGGAAATTGAAAAGTTTCTTGAAACAAATGATAATGGAAATACAACATACCAAAACCTATGGGATACAGTAAAAGCAGTACTAAGAGGGAATTTTGTAGTTATAAGTGCCTACATCAAAAAAAGAGGAAAAACTTCAAATAAACAATATAACAAAGCATCTTAAAGAACTAGAAAAGCATAAGCAAACCAAACCCAAAATTAGTAGAAGAAAAGAAATAATGAAGATCAGAGCAGAAATAAAAGAAATTGAAATGAAGAAAAAAATACAAAAGATCAAGGAAATAAAAAGTCATTTTTTTAAGTTCAACAAAATTGAAAAACCTTCAGGCAGACTAAGAAAAAGAGAGAAGATCCAAATAAATAAAATCATAAATGAAAAAAGAAACATTGTAAGTGATACTTCAGAAATTCAAAGGATCATTAGTGGCTACTATGAGCAACTATACGCCAATAAATTGGAGAACCTAGAAGAAATGAACAAATTCCTAGACACATACAACCTATCAAGATTGAACCAGGAAGAAATCCAAAACCTGAAGAGACCAATAACAAGTAATGAGATTGAAGCCATAATAAAAAATCCCCCAGTAAAGAAAAGCCAGGGACCCGATGGCTTCACTGCTGAATGTTACCAAACATTTAAAGAGAAACTAATACCAATCCTACTAAAATTATTCCAAAAAATAGAGGAGGGCATACTTCCAAACTCATTCTATGAGACCAGTATTACCCTGATACTGAAACCAGACAGAGACGCACTAAAAAAAAAAAAAAAAAAAAAAAAACCTACAGGCTAATATCTCTGATAAATACTGATGCAAAAACCCTCAACAAAATACTAGCAAACCAAATTCAATAATACATTAAAAAGATTATTCATCACGACCAAGGGGAATTTATCTGAAGGATGCAAGAATGGTTCAACATATGCAAATCAATCAATGTGATCCATCATATCAACAGAATGAAAGATAAAAACCATATGATCCTTTAAACTGATGCTGAAAAAGCACTGGATAGAATTCAACATCCCTACATGGTAAAAATCCTAAAAAAAAAATGGGGATGGATGGAACATATCTCAACATAATAAAAGCTATATACGACCGAGCCACAGGTAGTATCACATTGAACGGGAGAAAACTGAAAACCTTTCCTCCAAGATTTGGAACATGGCAAGAATGTCCACTTTCACTGTCACCAACATAGTTCTGGAAGTCCTAGCTAAAGCGATCAGACAAGAGAAAGAAATAGAGGCATCCAAATCAGAAAAGAAGATGTCAAATTATCTGCATTTGCAGATATTATCTTACATTTGAAAAAACCTAGACTCCTAAAAAACCTATTCAAACTGATAAATTCAGTAAAGTTGCGGGATACAAAATCAACATAACAAAATCAGTAGCGTTTCTATATGTCAACAGTGAACAATCTGAAAAAGAGATTAATAAAAGTGATACCATTTACAATAGCCTAAAATAAAATTAAATACCAGGAATTAACCAAAGAACTGAAAAATCTCTATGATTAAAATAACAAAACATTGATGAAAGAAATTGAAGAGAACACACACAAAAAAAAAAAAAGAAAAAAGGAAAGACACTCCATTTTCATGGATTGGAAGAATCAATATTATTAAAACATCCATACTATCCAAAGCAATCTACAAATTCAATACAATCTCTATCAAAATACCAATGACATTCTTCACAGAAATGGAAAAAACAATTTTAAAATGTATATGGAACCACAAAAGACCCAGAATAGCTAAAGCTATCCTGAGGAAAAAGAATAAAACTGTATACCTGACTTCAAAGTATACTACAGAATTAGTAGTTAACCAAATAGCATGGTACCAACCTAAAAATAGACACATAGACGAATGGAACAGAACAGAGAACCCAAAAATGAATTCACACACCTACAGTGAACTCATTTTCAACAAACTTGCCAAGAACATACACTGTGGAAGAGACAGTCTCTTCAATAAATGGTGCTGGGAAAACTGGATCTCTATATGCAGAAGATGAAACTAGACCCCTACCTCTCACCATATACAAAAATCAAATAAAAATGGATTAAGGACTTAAATCTAAGACCTCAAACTATGAAACTAATACAAGAAAACATTAGGGGAAATCTCTAGGGCATTGATCTGGGCAAATATTTCTGGGGCAATACCTCATAAGCACAAGCAACCTCAGCAAAAATGGACAAATGAGATCATATCAAGATAAAAAGCTACTGCATAGCAAAGGAAATAACAAGATGAAGACACAACCCACAGAATGGGAGAAAATATTTGCAAACTACCCATCTGACAAGGGATTAATAACCAGAATATACAAGGAGCTCAAACAACTGTATAGGGAAAAAATCTAATAATATGATCAAAAAATGGGCAAAAGGTTTGAATAGCCATTTCTCAAAAGAAGACATACAAATGGCAAACAGGCATATGAAAAGGGACTCAACATCATTGAGCATCAGAGAAATGAAAATTAAATCTACAATGAGATACCATCTCACTCCAGTTAAAATGGCTTTTATCCAAAAGACAGGCAATAACAAATGCTGGCGAGGATGTGGAGAAAAGGGAACTTTTGTTCACTGTTGGTGGGAATGTAAATTAGGACAACCACTATGGGGAACAGTTTGAAGGTTCTCCAAAAAACTAAAAATAGAGCTACCATATGATCCAACAATCCCACCGCTAGGTATATATCCAAAAGAAAGGAAATCAGTATATTGAAGAAATTTCTGCACTCTCATATTTGTTGCAGCACTATTCACAATAGCCAAGATTTGGAAGCCCAACCTAAGTATCCACCAACAGAAGAATGGATAAAGAAAATGTGGTACATATACATAATGGAATACTATTCAGCTATAAAAAAGAATGAGATCGTGTCATTTACAACAACATGGACCGAACCAGAGATCATTTTGTTAAGTGAAATAAGCCAGGAACAGAAAGACAAACATTGCATGTTCTCACTTATTTGTGGCCTCTAAAAATTAAAACAATTGAACTCACACATATAGAGAGTAGGGGGGATGGTTACCAGAGGCTGGAAAGGGTAGTAGGGGCAAACAGGGTGGTTAATGGGTACAAAGAAAAAAATAGAATGAATGAATAAGACCCAGTATTTGATAGCACAACAGGGGGACTATAGTCAATAGTAACTTAATTGTATATTTTTAAATAACTAAAAAAGTATAATTGGATTGTTTGTAACATAGAGGGTAAATACTTGAGGGGATGGATACCCCATTCTCCATGACGTGATTAGTACCCATTGCATGTCTGTAACAAAAAAACTCATGTGCTCCATAAATATATACACCTACTATGGACCCACGAATTTTCAAAATTTTAAAAATAAAAATAAAATATAAATAGCAGATCATACTATAATATGTCTCAGGATGGTGATGAGGAATAAGTAAGTGAATGCAGGTAAAACATTTAGAAAGTGTGCCTCATACATATTAGGTGTGGTTGTTACAATTATTAAAATAACTTTTTGTCCCCCTAATGCAATTGTAGCATGGTCTCCTTTCTTTAAAGATGACACAGACTGTATCTATTCCCATGCTTATAATAATTTTTGTAATCTAGAGCAGGGTCAGGAAACTATGGCCTCTAGGTCAAATCAAGCCCACTGCCCTACTTTTGTAAGTAGTTTTGTAAATTAGTTTTATTGAACACAGCCATACTTATTCATTTAGATATTGTCTGTGGCTGCTTTTGCACTATGATGGCAGAGCTGAGTAATTCATACAGAGATTATACTATTATCCGGCTTTTACAGAAAATGTTTGTCAACCCCTGATTTAAAGTAAAGCAAAGTTTCAAAGTGTATTTGAAAAGTCAGTGAATGACAGGATGGGAATTTGTACTTAAAGACAATCATTTTCCCTCTGTCTCTGCTGCTGGTTGCTATGGGGATTCAAATGAGTCACATTACCTTTCCACAACTCAAATTCTTCATTCATAAAGATAAATACCCACACATATAAGAAGGTCATCATAATTTTCTGACTTACATAATTAGTGTATATTTTAAGTATAACAATATGCATAAAAGTGCTTGGTCAAATTTAAATTATTAAAGCAGATTTCGGTTATTAATCATCAACAAGGTTATTAAATCTAATCCACTCATTCACCTTCTTGATGACAAAGTCTTGTAACAGGTCTAAACTTGCTCTTCCTCGACTCGTTTTGGGACCAGGCCAGCGCTGTGGCCTTCTTTAGCTGGTAATGAATAATATCTTCCCATTTGGAGTCTTTAGAATAATGAATTTGGTTATGGGATACAAGGAACATATGATTAAGTAATTATTTTCTTTTCTCTCTGAAGGGTCATCATTAAAAAGTAGTGCTTTCCAGCCAATGGCATTGAAGCTGCACACACACAGCTCAAAGGGACCCTTTGCCAGCTGGCCTCATTAAATCCCTGACATACTCTCCTGCATTTTGTTATCAGAGTGTGTTCATTCCTTGATAATTCTGCATTCCTATCCCAGAGCTCTTAGGACCACACCTTCATGTTTCTTCCCTCTTGCTGAGTTTGGACTCTTTCTTTGTTGGGTAGAATTTTCTTCTGTGTCTAATCCCATATTTCTCATACGTATTGCTTAAAGAAAAGGAAAATGTTCCACAATTGGTTTGTCCTTTTTTCTGAAAACTGAAGATCCTGATCCCTTGTCTCATCCCAGACCAATCTATTAGAAGGAAACGCAGTTCTGTCTACAAAGCTATGGGTTTTCCTTTTCATATGCAGCACCTTCCCTTCCATTCTCCTGGAGAGTACATTGTAGTTTATCTGTCATTACTCTTAGTGTCATATAAAGGACTTCAGTTATGTTAAAAGGCTGAGGATTTATAGGATAAAGAATCATAAAGCTAAACCTTGTAGATAAAGCCTGTCCTCTTCTGTGTGACCAGTCATGGCAGGAGACCTTTAGGAACCCACGAGAGGCAGAGCATGGCAGAGGGTTTCCCATATGTAAAAAGGTTCTTCAGTCACTCTCCTGTCTGAGCTGTTTCATCACTTAGAAAGGCAGAGTGTACCTGTTCTTTGGGTTTATGGCAAGTAAAAAATTGTTACTCTGTACATGCTTATTACCAATTATAATTTTGACAGGTTACAAACATTATATTACGTTATTATTATATTACAAACATTTGCTTCCATTCTTCCAGTGAATGTGGTAATACACAGAACACTGGATTAATCATATACCAAACACTAAGAGTAAATAGCTCAGAATTATTTAAAATTCTGGCTAGGAAAAAGATTTATTCCAACAGTCATGAATAAAATTTTCTTTAAAAACAATAAAAAGGTGCCATTATGCTAGATCCCCCTAACTCATCTGATCAAACTCCTCAAGGTCAACTTTAGAAAGGAACTAGTTTCAAGTCATAAAGAAAAATCATCAGGGCTCCATAATCTCAAAAAGTTTGAAAAGTTTCATTAAAAGATCTGAAGATTCCATCTCCCTGCAGTAGAGGTTAGGATGGGTCAAGTAGAGATAAAACAGCAAATCACCTGGGTATTAGATTTTAGACCATAAACCCATTTGCTTTGGCAAGACACTTTAACTTCCAGTTTAGTCTGTCAGTTAAGTGGCAGAAGAGGAGGTTTTCAATGAAAGCAAATTTACAGGTGTGCAATGCAGATAGTTTATTGGGAAGTATTGTGGTCTTGTCTTTGAGGGTGCCTCCACTAGGGTTATAGAGGTGAGCAAGATGACTCTGCCTGTTTGGCAGAGAGAAGGTGAATCACATGTGACTAAATTTTCTGACGGATTACTGGATGATTGCAGGCAAGGTGGGATGAATAAAACCTGGTCCTACGATGCTTTGAGAAGAAATGGTTGCTTGGTTCCAAAAAGTTCTTTCCTTCTTGGTTTTCCTTTTTCTCCTCTTTAAGATTTCTCATGATGAAGATTTATTGCCACCAAATTCAAATTCTGCAACCCCAAAGCCTCAGGCCAGCACTAGCCAGAACCCAAATAATGACTGCATTTATGGAAAGATTCAAGCAGTATGGGCTAGGTTGGGCAATAGGGGAAAACATTCTAATGTTAAATTGCTTTTAAATAGATATTGTGTAAACAATAGGAACAAACCAGGGGAAATGCCTCTCCATGGACATACAGTGAAAATGAATATTGTATTGCTCAGGTTGGTATATTCTATAATGGAATATGCCTGTAATGTGTGAACTTGTTTTACATTATTTCTTCCCTCCATAAATAGTTGACTCTTTCATATGTAAAAATTATGTTTCCTTTTGTTAGCAGTAATGGACTTCGATTAAATCATGTGTTTTTATCATATCAATTTGTGTAAGTATTTTTATCCAAGTTATTTACAGAACATTTAGGTCTGTCCTTCAAAGGCCTTAGTAATCTTTAGTGTTTGCTGGTCTGCTTTTAACTCATCAAAGTCCTCCCTCAACAAGCATTGCAAAAAACACACATGCAGCAGAGATTTCCCCTCTACAATGTATATGTGATATGCTTAATGTTCATCTTTATACACATAGAGACATATAAGAAATGTGGAGGTTGTCTATAAATTCAAGGAAACATTTAGGTGCACAGTGATACACAGATACATGGGTATAATACTTCATGTACTTGATAAATATTTCATCCCTACCATAAAAAGAGCTTTTTATCAACTTTGATTGTTTTTTTATTACCTTAAAGTATTGCAGTTGTTTCTCAGTATTCATTGTTCCTTCCTTTTCTTGTCTCAGACAGGAATTGAAGATGAAAAGCTCTGTATCTCTTAGCCATCCTTTCAGTTCTTTGATCCTGACCTCCAGCTGCCTTACCAGGCTTCCACTTTCAGGAGAGAGCAGGTCACGTGGACTCGACCCACTGTGCCCTGCCATTGTGTCCTGGATCTTCTCTCCTAGGGTTTTCTAATGCATCAGATTAAAAAACAAAAAATAAAACAAACAAACAAAAAAAAACCCCACGAACAACAAAAAAACAAAAACATAGATTAACTTAGGTACCAAAAACACACCACAGTTTTGTTGGTAACGAGAGCCACCTGGAAGAGTCCATCTATACCTGCCACCTCACTACTGACATTCAGTTCAGATTAGGTCATTGTTCCATTTAGTATTCGAATTCTCAGTGCAAGTTGTTCTGAGTACCAGCGGATACTTAAGAAGACCTCATTCACTTACTTTCCTTTAATAGAAAGGAGATTTAGCCCATAGTTCGCAAGATAAAAATTCATTTGAATTTTTTGGTCACAGAGAAAAATTCATTTGAATTATCATGATAGGAGTTTATAGTAAAAAACTCTCCACATAAAATGTCCAGGAGATGTAAGTTTAATAAATATACTAAAGAGGCCAAGAGTAGATCAAACACGGAGAATTAAATTCCATTTTTTGTTTTGTGACATATTTCCGAAACCATATAACTAAAGGGTTTTAAGAAAAGGAAGCCTCCTTGGTGATGTTGTTGATTTTACCTGACTTGGAAATTGTTCAATCCCACAATTCTTTCCATTTTGCATTTCTGGATGCTGGACTTTCTAATACCGAATATGTGTTAAAATAATCCCCAATTCACTACACTAGAAGCCTACTTAAATTAACCACTATGGCAGGAGAGTGTTGTCGGGGAGGGCTGTTTTCTTTTTTTCTTTTTGGTGGAAAGCAGTCCCAATCAATAGGATTTAAATCTATAATGATGCATTAAACCTACAAAAATAAGCTTTAAAACATAAATAAAATTAAGTCAACAAACATTCATCTGGTGTGTAGTGTTCTGTAAATAGTATCTTTAGGAGACTGTAGCAGAAAAATAGCCTTTCTTGGCAACACCCTTGTATTTTCATGGTGAAAATACTGATAATTTGAAGACCCTCAGTGGAATCCAGATTTAGCTATTGTTTTTACGCTGTAACAAAAGTAGCAGCAGGAGGTGAAATCAATGCCCTTGGAGGGTAGGGTCACAAAAAAGAATTTATTGCCACTTTTTTGTTCTGGAACAGTTTGCAATCATAAATTCTTCATAAACAGAATACTTCAGAGAATGGTCCGTCTTCATAAATATACGACAGAGGACATCAATTTCATTTAATTCACAATTTGTGTCAGCACAGCAGATGCCAATGCCTGCCTTGATAGGGTTGTTTAATATGCAATTGAGACAGAGTAATATGCAGCACAGGGGACACAATTTCACAGATTAAACTGTACGCACCACTGACATTTCATTCTAATGTATTTCCATTCCACACTGTTCACCTTAGATGAAAGTAATATTAAAAACCATATACCTCTATTTTACTATTGTTAGAAGTTAAAATCCTTGTCTTTAATTTTTTTCATGCCAATTAAAATGTAATCATGCCAATTAAAACAGTATGCCTGGTGGTGTTAGTGTGGTACAGGATTTAAAAAAATCTTCCCTCACCCTACTCTCTCACTGCAAACCTGCATGTTGTATTTGAATGATGTTTTTGTCAAAATGGCAACTATTTTTAAAGTCTCTGATTCATAAAGGATAGCTAAATATTATTTCTTTTTTCAAAATAATGTTGACTTAAAATTCTGTTGAGGAAGCAATACATGTGACATAACTTAAACAATTTTCTAAAAATATTATTGTTATTTATCAAATTACCAATGGATATATTAAAATGCAATGTAAACAGACTTATCGCTACTTTATCAAGCACATAAGGTTGCCATTCTTATCTATGTAGTAAACAACCTTTTAAAATGTCATACACTAACCACATTTCTCCTGTTTGAGATCAATGAATGCTGTAGAATACGGCAGGTTTTGATTTAAGTCACCGTATTATAAAGTGAAAGCCATTAATTATTATTAAAAGGCAACAATATGTTAGATGAAAAACTTTTAACATTTTAAGTTACTTTGCACAACTGCAGAGTGTAGTGAATTTAAATGAGAAACAAGGACTTAAACCTGCAGTTTTTTAATCTCCTAGATTAGGCATGGCATAAACAGAATACTGGCATTCCTCCAAATCATCAAGGTACATGAAGAGCTTTTTATTCAAAATATTTTTGGAGTATTATTTATCTAAAATTTTTTTTAAAAGGTAGAAAAATGGAAGGCATGCAAAATTATGCTCCATAACTGACATCGTCCATACTTGGCTGTTATAATTAATTATTTAGGTAATTGACAAATATAGCTTACCCTTGATTTGAAGTGAAGGCAATTTAGGAGAGAAGCTGATGAAAAAATACAGTTTAACTTTTCTCTCAGCTGTCTTCCAACAAAAGGACAGTACTGTCTCCTGCACAGTGCCATCCTGGTCTCTGGGTAACAGAATCTCTATATTGCCTTTTTGCCAGATTCTTGCATCTCAGTCTTTGGCTGAGACCCAGCCCATCATTGCGTGAAATGAATTACATGAAACTTTTTTTTTTTTTGGCTTTTGTTAAAAGTGAGCTGGAAATTGAGGCACAAAACACAGGCTGATTCAATTCTGCAATTCAGATTTGGGTCAAATTTGCATCTTTGTTTTGGTGGCTTTAGTGTGACTTGAAAGCTGTAGTGACAACTCCACTTTTCATCTTAAGGGTACAGTAAATAGTTAAACAGTAGATGTCTCTCACATGTACCTTCAGAATAAATTCTATTAACATTCATTCAAGCATGACAGTCAGTATATATCAGATATACTGTATTATAGTTGACTTGGTGCATACCCATAATACATGGCATATTTTACTTACTTTTTCATGTATTAAAGAACCAAAATTATTAAAATCTGAGAGGGGACAAGCTCAGAAAAAAAAAAAATCAACAGAAGAGGAAAAGCAGTGTCTTTCCCATAATAGCATGAATAGCTTGTTTGAAACGTAGGTAGTGAATTGAAAGAGAGAGATATTTGTGCCTCAAATTAGAAATCGGACAGAGTACTTCACTACGCAAAAAATGTACACATAACCTACAAACAGTAATAAAAATGCAAATACCCCAAGCAGTTCCCATTTTTCATTAATTGAATCCACTTTTTCAAGGAGATCATTTGGTAGTAAAACGCCACCTTTCTTCAAAGCTTCAACCTTACTAAGCAGCTCCGTCTTTTTCAGGTGTCTGATGGACATTTCCACACTGTATCGCTAAAATGAAAAGAGAAAAAGAGATATCATTAGGGAGAGAGGTGTTCTTAGAAAATCATTGAACACAGAATTTGTGATGCTTACGAGCATTAAAAGTTTTTGTTCCCAATAAAATTTATGGGGAGGCTAAACCTAAGTACTTTGAGTAGATGAAGAATATTGCTGAATATATTATATACACACACACACACACACAGTTATTACATTTAGTTGACTAAGATTTACTTCTTAAACTCAAGTTTATACACATATTTGATCTTTAAAATATTCTAAATAGGATAGTAACTGGTCTAGGGGGGTTTAATATTACAGTTAATTTTGGCCATTATTTGGTTCCAGAGTGCTGTCCACCTCTCATCTCTTCCCCTAAAGGACCAGTTTCAAAGTGAAAGAAAAAAAATTATTCATAAAGATTATGTAAGTTATCTGAATTCTCAGTTAACATTTTGTTTTCATTTTCTTTTCCTTAAAAACTCTGTGTGGGCTTGGAGAAAAGGTACATATATAGAGAAAAAGGAAAGCCAACATTTTAGGAGTAGTTACAAATCTATGCTTCTTTATTGATTACTGTAAAATATCCCCCAAATCATAGTTGACTACAGAACCCTCTCCCCCAGTATGTATTATATTCTAACAAACTGCCAAGAGAGTCTCTCCTAAAAGATGTTTTGCTGGAGATAATGTAAGTGCTATTTAATGTGACAGTTACTATGGTGATTCTCTTCAAATAACTCTATTTGGATAACTCCATAGTTAGTCCTATATTATGGATAGCCATAAATGACTATGACTGTACTTTATAAATGTACATGTAAAAACTCCTCTGAGTAGAAAATCTAGATTCTGGTTAAAATATTAAACATATTTTACATTTTCAGCACATTTCCAAGATATAATAGCAATTTTAAAACTTTTTTCTTCCAGGCACCAAATTTAGGTCACTGAGTTCCATGGTAGTATTTTGTTCTTTTGCCCTACATGACCAACGGTGCCCTAAGATAAGCACCTTTATCAGAGTTAATGAGAAAAACTTTTCTCTGGGCAAATAAATAAATCAATAAGTTCAAATGTCCCCAAGCACTTGGGTGATTTCACTCACCTTGAAAACATGATATTATATAAGATCCCAAACAAAAATACAATTGGAAGCAGATTAAAGGAAAAGAAGGTATGAAATCACTGTTTCGGTTAATAGATCTTCAGCATTTGCGTGCATATGTTTGCATACTTTTAGCTTCATATTTTAATCTTTCATTTACACTAAACATGCACATCACTTGTATTATGTAAACTTCTCCAAATGTTAGTCATTTGTGGATCACAGAACAAAATGTTTTAAATGAGGTGATTTAAAGCATTTCATATTATTAATGAATGTTGATCAGGGTGTCAGAGTATCCAAAATTACATGAATATGCATAGTGGAGAAAATCAAGGGTTGCTTTAGAGCGCTTTTAGAATCTGGCCTGTGATACAGGAGAAATTCTGATTGCGTTTTCTAATGGAAGGCAATTACCAGGACCATGTTACTCCAGCACTTAGGAAACACACTGTCCACTTGAATTTTCTGGATTCAATATTCAGGAGCATTCTAGAAACCTAGATAGTGTTTTATTTGTCAGAGCGATGATTGGAGGAGAGGACAATCTGCTTTATGTAATCAGGTTCCCATCTAAAATGATATAGCTGACAAAGATTTACATAATTAATTTGGTAAGATTTCCACATAATATTGGGGGAACCAGTATTTCAGGCAGGCAGGAAAATCTTATTCAAATATTTTACTTATGCCACATGGTATTACTCATTGACAGAAAGAGTCCTCTGGCTGTGCCACTTGGGAATGGCCTCTACCAGTTATCCCTTTAACTTGTGACAAGCTCATCCCCCCCTCTTCACCCCAACTTTAAACAGCTCTCACACAGCACATCAGTCAAGAAAGGAAACAGCTTAGATGTGTCCCATAAAAATGATAGTCTTACACAAATAAAAATATAAAAAGCAATTAATTTAATTTTAGATGTAATAAACCAATCTTCTCTGTTAAATGCGTATAAGTAGTCACTGCAATAGCTATTATAAAAGGTTATTACCTTTAAAAGAAACTTGTCTTTATGTGTGCTCTCAGTCTTTGTCACCATATAGCCGACTGTCTAAACAGCTTGATTTAAGATGTGATTGATGGACAATGCCTTCAAACTCTAATACAAAAGCTAAGAGTATCTAGTTAATTGTTAGATGTATTGATATATGGATGAAAGGTACTAAAATGTTATATAATTTAAGGTGAAAATATTTATTTTAATTTTTGAAGCATATTGAAGGTTAAATCTAATATGTTTAGGGGCTCAAGCTGTATGTGTAATAATGTCAGGAGCTTATATTTTTGTTGATGCTAGTATGTTTTTGCTCTTCTGTCTCTTAACATCTTTTCAGAAGCATTAGACTCAGAAAATCAACTGCCAGCTCTATCAGTTTTCGGTCATCCTATCAAGTGGGGCTACTTTATCCTGTGGTGAGAAGATAATTTAATCTTCATATTCATTCCACCCACAGCAGTAAGTGAGCAGAGGCTGCCCCATTGTGTCCTGTAGTCTGGGGATGTTATGATATAGACTACTCTTCAATAGGCAAAAATGAGATTAGCAAAGTTAAAGTCAGAAAGCTTTTCTTGAGTGCTAAGGTAAATAAGCATCCAGTATTTAATTTCCCCACAGCACCTGCTGTGGGCCTCTCTGTCTAGTCAAAAATAAAATATACTCTCTTGAAAGGCCATATTTACATTATTAAGTGTATTTGCTTGGCCAATTCAATTTTGACTAATGAAGCCTCCTAATAGATATGTGAATGATCTAAATTAAAGACACAGGACAGTACTATTCTAAATGCCATCCCTGTGTATATAAATACAAAGAAAAACTTTTAAAAAAAGGAGTTAAAAATAACTACAAACTCTAGCCCACCATTTTAACTAAGAACTAAAGAAGTTGTAGAAAATTCTTATTGAGTACTTACTTTTAGCACAAATGCTAAAACTGAATTATAAAACAAAGCCAGCAAAAACAGGAATTTCTGAAATAAATATACTTAGAAATGCATGAAGACTTGATTGAGATAACTTTTTTGACAGTTACGCTAAAGGCTTCCCCGCCACACCGAAGTCCCCCTCCTTTTTTTTTGTTAGAAATCACACCGAAAATTCTGCCCAAATGGAGACTGGAACAATGCCTTGAAACAGTGTTAATTGTCACCATGGAAACCAGAAGAATAAGCCATTTTGAAACTGGTATAGAAGGCACACATTGAGCAACTCAAGCATTTTTCTGCCTCCCTCAATGTTAAGGAACAAGATGCCTTGTCACTGTGAGGTCAGAGAAAGAAAACATCATGAAAGGGTTGTAGATGCTCACTGTCTGGTAAATAAAAAAAATAAAAAATAAACTATATACAGCTAATGCTATAAGACTCTACCGAGTGAATCTTTTTGAAATAGAGGGATCATCAAAAGATGGCCAGGATTGGGGGATGGCTTCCACCTAAGCAAAACTTGAGGGCTATATTATGTGAACCTTGCCCCCAAAGCTCCCTGGGAATTCTGCTGTTGTAATAAAACTTCAGAAGAGGAAAGAAAAAAGGCAGCATGATGGAATTCAAAATAATGCTCTAAAAGCACACAGAGAGATTAAGACATCCATTGTAAGACTTTTGTATGGTGCTTCTGTTGGTTATGCTGAAAAGAGACCAGACATTGCTGAACAGAGAGTGAAGCTTTGGCTGCGAGAAACACACAAATTAAACTAAAGACATTTCTTGATTATTAGAATAGGGCTGTTGTATTCTGTGTCATCAGGGTTTGAGCATTTACATCTTACACCATATTACTTTTAACTGAGCTTCAGTTGACTTTATATTAGGAAAAGTTAAAACAAGGAAAATGATCTAGTTATTAGAATGACAGGATTGAATGTCTTTCCTGGTACAAATATAATGCCACAAACACCTGTTTATCCAGCAAGATCCCCTTTCCCATATATGCATGATTGACTGATAGATACGATTGATAGATAGATAGATAGATAGATAGATAGATAGATAGATAGATAGAATACACTGAGAAAATAAAATATATCTTACTTAGTCTATCAGTAAGAAAGCAAATGCTAGGAACATACCAAAACACCAAACTACTGGCAAAATAATGTGTGAAAATATGCATTTTTGCAAAAAAAAAAAAAAAAAAAAAAAAAAAAAAATCCAGGGATGTGTCTATTTACAACTCTCACGTGTTTTCTGGCTAGTGTTTGCCCTCCTCATTCGAGGCTTCATGGTGGCCCCTCAGCAAGTCCATGCCTAATGCCATTCAGTGGTGAACAAAGAGTCTTTTTATATAAAAGTCCAGGGTCCAAGCTCAGCTGTCCATGCGGAGTGCAGGAATCTGCCAGAGGCCAGTGTTGCCTGTGCAGCAGCTCTTGTGCTGCCCCGCTTTTCAGAAGACTTGTGTGTAGCATCTCATAACGCATATGATGCTGCACATGGAGTCAGTACCACCAACACTTCAAGAAGATGTTCAAAACTGAAGAAAAGGGTTCAAGCCCAAGACAAATAATAGTTGTTATTTCTTGCAAACTCCTTGTATTTTACCAGTAGAATTTATGGTGAGTAATTGCATAGAGAAATTATAAAGACTCCTACAATTGTCCTTGTAAATTAATAATAGGTTTTCCTGATTGGGATAAATTTGCTGCTGAGCCTTTGGAAAAATTAAAAAGTGCAATGTCATTTAAAATTGCCAGAACTCGCACAGCAAATGACACCTGAGGTTAAGAATTGAGTTTTCCCCCTCTTCTAGCTTATTCCATTTGCATGATCTGGAAATCACATTACACTGGCCATGTACTGTTAATTGGACATAGATTGCATTATCTTTAATATAAATCAAACTACAAATATTAAAATGAATTGCAAATTCCCTAATAGAAGATCATAAAACAATCTTTTTTAAAGTATCTGCCATTAATAATTTAATTCCAATCATACCACTCAGAAAACTTAAGTAGGAGACCTGGCAACTTATTTCTCCAGTCATTTCTTTTAAATAACAAATATCTAAGCCTTTAAAAATAAATATAGCTAGACTAGAAGTCACTGTTACAGAACAAAAATAAAAACACAAATAACTGAAAACTTTCATGTCAATTTCATAAAAAATACTGCATAAGGACGCCAAGTCTACCTGTCTCCTTTCTTTCCTTCCCATGTCAAGGGTGAGAAAAAAGTCTCCTATAGGTAAAATTTAGTAAGTTTAAGAACTATCTTGATCATACCCTGTAAAATTATAATATTGATTATTATTTTTCTATTTACTTTTTAAAACGGTTCTCTATCCCCTTAGATATTTCCATAAATTTGATATCCTTCTGAAGCCTTTGTATGGCCTTTAATGAGTTTATATTAAATATTTAATACTGTTTAGGGCATATCCACTACTACCAAAAACAGTCATATTCCCAGCAGTCCCACTGTTTCAGGCAGAGGACTTGATTGATCCTCCTAGCCTGAATTGAGTAGAATGAAAAGAAGCAGTTGGAAAATAGCTGCAATCATTTAATGCAGATGACCTCTGACAGCCCCGCAGCTCTTCTATCTGAACAGAAATTTGCATGGGGTCTCTGTGCAGAGGAACAATGTAACCTAAATGGTAGACAATCTTTATTCTAATGAAGTGGGTGTCAAGGTCAATGTAAAACTGCAATGATAAATGGTGCACCACTAGGCAAGAGAAGTTGCATAGGCATTGTAGTGCTTTCACATTAATTGAAGACTGAAATGCACTGCGTGAAAAGCACAAGCCTCTCTTTTCACCATAACGTGTTAATGCGCCAATACCAAAATGATCTCTTCAAGATGTTTGCCTGTTGACATGTATCTTATTGCAAAAATAACACAAGTATAAAATTACGGCAAAAAATGGACATTTTTAGAATTTAGTGTTTTCCTGGAATCAAATTACAAAAATTAAACAAAACGCTCCCAAATGATGTCCTGACACCTAATGTAATTCCTTTGATCCCTTTTTCTTTTCTTTTTCTATTTAGACCTGTCTTTAATTAGTTTCAACCAAGCAACCTTTTACAGAACCCTTCATTTGGGTACTTTCATGTTGAGCAAACTGTAAAAGAAGACTGAGGAGAGAAGAATCACTCAAATATTATTTTTTCCCCTCACTTCTAAGTTTTCTCCTTAGTCTGCAGTAAAGATCTTCAGGTGTTGTTTGTCCTGAATGAAAATGTAATGAAAAGTCTATGGTGTGTAAAAGAAAATAACTATTTTCTAGTGTGGGAACTAGAAAACCTTAATCTGGTCGTTGGAAATTGCCAAAATGACTGCACAGAAATAATTACACCATGACTTCAGTTGGTCTAGCAATTTTGTGGCAGTCAATATTTTTCATCCCATAAAAATAAGGATAGTAAGCTGCTTTTTAAAAATCCTGATCTACTTAAGCCTGTAAAGGGGACATTGTTTGCTAATACACTCATTAGCAACCAAGGACTTTAACTTCATCAATTAAACAGGAAATGGAGTTGCATCATTTAGTTTCATAATTTGCTAAAATACGGATAAGAGCATATTATTAACCATTCAGGAAACATTTCCAGGCTCAACTCATAATACCTTATAAACTGCATTTTTATGGTTGATATTTTTTTCAGATTCTGGTAGACTCTATGATATAGCTACATTTCCAACACTACACTTCCTGTTACGAATAGATTTTAATAAAGCAATTACAGTTAGAATAGTCAGGAATGGTCTGTAGGTCTGCAGTCTTGGTGACAGAAGGCTATTAATATCCTTTACTATAAAATAAATGATATTGCTAGTCTGCAACTCTGATGTAAAAACAAATTGTCTCAAACGGAAATCAACATTCCTGAAATGGTAATTCAGAGAAAAAAAAATCTCAACATGAAGGAGGATAGTGAAAAAGAAAAAAAAGTTACTGATGAAACTGTTTAAAAAACTGTACAGCTTCATCTGTGTGTGATTTGTCAGGTCTGAAGCTTTGACGTGCCCAAGGGGCAGACCCCAGCGGGGAGTAGGCTGCCGAGCTAAATAGCTGTGAAAGAAGTCTTAATGTAGGATGGAATTCAAACTAACCTTGACATGACCTCGGGAAAAATATGCAAAAAGTAAAATGAATGCTCTCTGCAAGATACATCCTAATTTTGTGGTAGAGCTGGTTAGTTTTACAAACATAACTGAGACCTTAAAAGAAAAATAGAAAGCTAGTAAAAGGGGAAAAGTTTAGAATTCAGGCAAAAAACGTAAGCAGGCATGTGTTACTGTGAAGGCATGTGAACCATTTGGAGAGAATCCAAATAAAAACCCACACTGAACAATATTGTTGTCAGCCTGTCTATTCAGGAAAATTGTTTTTTTTTTTTTTTTTTTTTTTTTTTAGGTTGAATATAAATGACACAAAGCCAAGATGCCAAGATTACATCATTGCATTACAAAGTCTGTTGTGGCTTTTAGCTGAACAAGCCCCACGGATCTATTGGTTTAGGACAGTAATTCAGCAAGGAGGTTTTAATGTGCTATTTTTTCCTCCAGTGTCAATAAAAAATAGAGAAATTTAAGGAAGAAATATCCCGTGTGCTCTCTAGTCTATTTCTTGCTTTTGATCTGTATTTGATAAGCTGAACTCCAGTTTTTGTTGATGCATTCAGTCCTGATTTGACTCTATTATAAATTTTGCCTGTTTTGAAGTGATCGGCTTAGTAGGAAGGCATTTGCTCTAACTCCTTAGCCAAGAACTGGCTAACTCACTGGATATATGGAAATTTTAATTGAGTGTCAACTTGTATAGAAATTCAATCCTATTATCTTCTCAATGCAATTTTGTAGCAATACCAGTTATTTACTACACTACTAACCAGATTTTAAACATAATTAAATTGCTAAGAACATACACCCAAAATCTAATGACTTAAATCCCTTCACCAAGGATGTGAATTCCTGGATCAGGCGTATGCACTTCCAGTAGATTTTCATAAGCATAAAGTGAGCAGATGGATGCAATCATTTAGAAGCACGGAGAGTTTTACTGAATACCTGTTGAACAACCATATGTAAAGATCATTGTTTAATGGATGTTATGCCATAGGTCTCTTCTTTGGTCCATTCTTATTAAATATTTTATTAATGACATAGATAAAGAAAATATGAATATGGCATATTGATCAGATTGGCAGATTATACTAACGTCAATGATCAATAAAGTATAATATGCATTTTAGTTCAGAGATCATAAACTCAAATACCTAAATGTAGCAGTATGCTAGTAAACTGGTTCTCTAAGGAAAAAAAAAGAAGAAGAAGAAGAAAAAAAGACCTGATTTGTAATGTTCGTTGATTTCCCTGGTGTAAATACTCCCACTGTGGCTGATTCCAATCTACCAATGGTGGTTGCTGCTGGTAAAATTCCTGAATATTTAACAATATGCTCTCATAAGTCAGTATTAGCCAGCTCCAACACCTCACTACCAGGCAGATGATATCAAGGAATTGAGTAGGGCAAGGATAAATCCTCTTCTCTCTTTCATATTCTAACTATTGCTACTGTCATAAAAAAGAGAACTATTTTTTTAAATAAAGACAATGCATAAATGTGACTATTACTAATATCTAATATCAGTAAGAGATAAGCAGGCATAGTGTGAACTGTGGAGGATGGGAGAGCATATGCCTCATCTAAAAGGGGCAACCCTTAACTCAGTTCTGCCAGCTATTACCCTGTGGAAATACGGCTTCAACATGGGTTCAGTATGGCAAGACATATACATTTTAAAGCCTATACACACACACACACACACACACACACACACACATAAACACATACGCACACATATATATATTATGTGAAGTCTCAAAATTGTTCTATGTTGCATTAAAACTTTTTAACACTACACAGATCAAACTATGTCTCTGGATATGAATCTGCAGGCAACTACTTTATAATATCTATTTCAGATGATAATAGACTCTAAAAGGAACAAAACATGCTGCCATAATGAGTTAAATCTAAGAAGGAGAAATGACAAATGTAAAGTCAGGCAGAGTTAATAACCACCCCATTTCACCCCACTACCCCCACTCCAAAATGATAAAAAGTTTTAAACTGCATAAAGAATGGAGGTAACAAGGCTTCACTTGCCTTTAGGTTCAATGTGAGTCAACAGACAATAGAAGGTAGATGTAAATTTTTAAAAAAGTGAGACAGGAGAGTTCCCTTGACCCCTTCACAAGACTTGTGATAGAGGTGTGGCTCGTTTACTCGGCCACTTGCAGTTAAACCCCTTGCAGGAGGGGGAGCCCGCAGGTGAGCGGGTGCAGGAGCCAGGGCAAGTGACTTTGGGTGTCAGCAGGAAAAAACACTGCACTGGCCCGCGGCAGCATCTAGGGGTTGCCCATAACCTCTGGAGCCTCAGAGGGCACATGTTACAAACAATGTTCTTTTAGCATTTGCCATCCATGGATGGTGTTAAACAGCTTAGCGAAGAGTCAGCTTGATAGCCTTTTTGGGTTCCTGCACCCGGTGCATCCTGAATTCTTGTCCAGCATCCAGGAAGAATTAGGTCACACAAATGGATGGAAAGGTGATGTATGTGGAAGATTTTACTGAGTGATGGAAGTGGCTCTCACTGGGATGGGGAGCTGGGAAGGCGATGGAGTGAGAAGATAATCTTTCCCTAGAGTTTGGCCATCCCTGGCTGAACTCCTCTCTGTCCCCAGCCAGCCGAACTCCTCTTAACATTCAGACACTTCTCTTCTCTCCTTCTGTGCTGCACTGCTCTGCTCTGCCAGTGGAGCTTGGGGTTTTTACGGGTACAGGGTAGGGGGCGTGGTGGGCCAGGGTGGTTTTGGAAAAGGCAACATTCGGGCAGGAAAACAGGAATGCATGTTCTCATTTAGGGCTGCGGTTCCAGGCTTGAAGGTGGAGCCCTTGCCAGGGACCCTGCCCTCTTCTACCCAATATTTCCCTGCTTCCTGTCCATATTGAAAGGAAACATGATTTTGGATTGAATTAAGAAAAACACAGGGTTAAAAAAAGAAAGGTAATGGATATATTAGTTTGACTGTGATTTGCTAGGCCCCAACCTTGTACTGCTTGCATTCCATTTTCCAAAAGGGACCTAGACAATGTATTAAATGTTCCAAAAAAAAGCACTTCAGTAAGGGAGAAGATTCAATACTTCCCCAAGGGTCAAGCTGTTGAATGAGCTAAAGGTATTCAGCTAAGAGGGCAAATAAAAGTTAGAGGTGAAAGAAGAGAGGAAGGACATGTTAGAAGATTTTGAATATTTAGAGGACTTTTGCATAAAAAATATTAATTTGTTCCATCTGACCTCAGAGGTCAGACTGGGGGTCAAATGCTGAAGCTTGAGTAGGAACACAGCATGAGAGATAGTGGGTTCCCATTCATCAGAGGTGTTCAGGCAGAGATGAGAAGTCTACCTGGCTGGGATATATTATGGGCAAATGAAGCATTGAATGAGGATTGGCCTGGGAGATAGAGCCTAAATTTCCTCTCTGTTTTAGAAAGTTGAGCTTCTTTGGATCCACATTCATAAGATCAGCCATAACAATTACATTATCCCAGGTAAAAGAAATGCCAAGACTGAAAATCACCAAGTTAAGAAGAAGCTGTCACTCGCTAGAACAAGATTCAGAAACAAGATTCTCATGCAGAAAAACCTGAGAGAACAACAATGGAGCAAAGACACAACCACATAAAATGTAAGCTGTATAATCTAAGCTAAGATGGGCTACAGAGAACCAAAAGAAAGGGCAGGGTTAACTGAAAATTCTAAAACTGTCTTCAATCCATCCTACTTTAGAGAGGCGTTTCATTGAATTTGAGGTACAGAATGAAACTTTCAAGTCTTTTTATCTGATAAATACAGGAGACTTCTACTATAGAATTTATGTGGTTAGGTTCATATTTCAACAACGTCCTTCCTGTAAATTTTTTTAAAAGACATAAACTTCAAGATAAATATCACCCTCAAAAATTTCCTTCATCAATACAGACTTTCTTCGGTAGATATCGAAGATGTGCATTTTAATCCTTGCTACCAGCAGCATGGGCATAATTGCAATTTCTCCTCCATGCTATGAAACTTCAGAGTTGTGCTATATTACATTGAAAATCTACACATCTCAAAGGGTTTTCTGTGCATTCCAATGCACTTTAGTGACGATGTGGATCATTGCCATAATACATCATGACTACTCTAATTATGGTTTCATTATGATGCACCATATCAGGGCTGTTGTAATGTCATGTCTGCACATAGTAAAAATAGTTATGCAATTATGTAATATCTGTCAGAGTATGCAATGTAGGAAGGAAAAAAGACTTGAGGCGCAGCAATTAATGTAATGAAACTCAGTTTTCTCCTTTAAAAAAGGTTTCCAATGTAAAAGTTTCATTTATTTTGTTTTCCATTTCCCAACCTAAACAAACACCTCTAAACACAGCTATTTCTGTTGAATTTGGCACTACTACATAATTTTTTAAAGTTTTTTTTGAGACAGGTTCTTGCTGTGTTGCCCAGGCTGGAGTGCAGTTGGCTATTCACAGGCATGATGAACACACACTATAGCCTTGAGTTCCTGGGCTCAAGTAATCCACTTGCCTCAAGCCTCCTACGTAGCTGGGACTACAGGTGCATGCCACTGCACTCAGCACAACTACTTAATTTAGAATTTTCTAATAACACAAAATAAGATGAAAAGGAAAAGAAAAATCTTTGATTCTAGCTGTTCTCCAAACATAACAAAAGAAAACACTTACCTAATATGTGCTATAAGAAATCCAATAACAAGTTAAGTGTAGTAAATTAAAGTCCACTGAAGAATTACCATTATGCAAACTTCAAACACAACAGTCACATTCTTCTATCTTCCATGACCTCTTGTGTGGACAGACTACTATTTGCCTAAAACTTGATTGACCATCTATCTCCTAAGTTAACTATGATAATGAAATGAGATAAAGCAATGATATGCATATTTACATCTCTAAGCTACTAAAACCATAAATATTCACTTGCCTTTAGTCTAGGTGCTAAAATATACCCAAATATCTATAAAAACATAAATGTTATTTGCCTTGTAAATTTGAAGAATAAACTTTAAAAGATGGTGGCTATGTCTTCTTTAGTTGACCACAGAGTATCTTGAATATTTGAGACCCTCAGAAAGCCTTGAGTCAGTGAATAGTTTCTCAAACTAAGTGATGTATGAATTGCTGTTTGTTGTTTTAATATACAATCAAAGGAGAATTTATGTATCATAGGTTACCACATATCTTTATAGCTGAATTATAGGCCTGTTCAGTGCAAGTATTTATAATGAAAATGCTGAAGAAGCCTGAACTATGGATGTGTATGGTTGTGCAGCAGCAGCAGCCATTTCAAATATAGATTTATTTTTAGCATTAGGAGGCACCAAGTTTGTTTAAATCTGGACTTTTTTTTTTCTACAATTGCAAGTAATGTTAATAGCACACTGTAAATGTGAAGGCTAAGTGTGCAATGTCAAAATAGACTGGATCTCTCTGAAAATTGGAAATTCAGGCTTTTCAAACATAATCCAGATGTTTGGCTTTTATTCAGATTTCAAGAAAGAGGGAACTAATATGATATAAAATTCATACATGCATATTTCATTAGTGCCTTTTGTATCACTGAATTAAACATTCTGAAACGTGCTTTTCCCAAATCACATAGAGTTTTAAACCAAAGCAGTTGCCAAGATGCTCCACACCTCAAAAATAATGCCAAATTAATTTCATAAGGAAGAAACTATATATTTCTTATGTTAACTCTGTTGATATTTCCTCAAAGAGATATCTTGCTTTCTCTCTGAGGATAAGAAGAAAAATGAGAAGTAGAACACTGTAACCATTGTAGTTTATCAAAAAGGTGTTGCTGCAGAACATGGTGACTTTTGAAATCTATGAGAATCAGTTGCCTAAATAAAGGCTGAATGTATTATCGCCCTTACTGTCATCATCAAAAAACTATCTTTTCAAGTTTCATGCAAATGGGCATTCCCCAAGGACTAAGGACTCCAGCACTGAGAGGCTGCACCCAGAATTTACCATGCGATGGTAGGTGTTAAGACAGAGCTGATCAAAGCATTTCCAGGGTTGCCTGTTCCCAAAACACAATGCAAGTGCCATTATACCTTTATGTATTCACATTGTGACTTTTTTTTTGGCAGAGTATTTTTAATTTTCAAAGGGTTTTCACATCTATAATCTTAACAGATCCATAATGCTATGGAGTTTTTCTTGGTGACTGCTCAAATCCCTGTATAGTGAAAATATCTGATTTCTTATGCTACTTTTTAAGAATATCTCTGGTGCCTTCACTTCAGATGAGGATAAGTATGGTTTCAGAATTAGATTATAAGCTTCTACAAGGGACTGTAGGAGGTCAGAGACCACATGTCATTCACTCTTTACCCACTGTAATTCTTAGCATTATGGTTTAAATGTAGGAGGTTGTTGGAAAATATTTATTCATTTGAATTTCTCCCAAAAGAAAGTCCAGGCAGATATAGAGAGCTGTTGAAATATATGCCAGATACAGTGTTAGTACACAGAAATGAGTACAGTGTGATTGCTTTATCTTTGAGCTTCATTTTCTGTGAAAAACTTATTTGGTGAAACATCCAATACAGGAATATTATTCTCAATTTTCAGACAGAAACCATGAACAAAGTTAATTGTTTATCATGGCCATGAACGGTTAACACAAGAAAAGCTTCTGTGAAAACCTATCAAAGAAAAGAGGAAGGTGGCAGTAGTTCTTTGAATATTTTAAGGGCACCTTTTATGAGGCAGTGTTTTCTCATAGCAAGAACATTTGATCAGAATGCGAAAGGCTAAGTCTAATTTTTAGTTCCGATACCAGTATGCTACAGGCTTAAAAACCATTCTGTTCTACCCATCCCCTGACCCCTTGGGCCTTTTTGTTTCTTTTGGGTACCTACCCATATTTGTCAGAAAAATATTTTGACAAAATAAATTTTAGAGATTTTAGGCTTTAAGGCTTAAACGCTGCTGCTGCAGCCTCAGAAAGCTTGACTGTCATTTCAATGGATTGTTCTTTTTTTTGCTGTTCTCCTATGGCAAGCCCATGGGGAAAGTTAGTAATATTACTTCTGTCTTACAGATAAAAAATTGATACATAGAAGCTAAGTGACTTGCCCAAGGTCAGTAAGATTGTACTAAAATCCACAAATAGAATTTCAGGAGGAATTTCAGCTTAGCTTGGTAAGCCATACTACTGCTCTTGAAAATACATCTTTAGATCTCAGTCCAGAAGTCTGAAGAAATTGGTGGGCCCTAAGAGTATAATGTAAATAAAGTCAAGAATGCCATACAAAGTGACAATGGAGTGGCCAACACATACTTAAGAACCCTACTCTTGAACCTCTTTAGCCAGATTCATTTGGCGTAGGCTCATCCTCAAAAACCCAACAGATTTTTAATAGCCTGAGGTTGAGGCTAAAAGGGCAGATAGGAGAGTTCTCACTGATGGTCATGCCTGTCACTCAGAAGAATGACAGTTCACAGTTTAAAGAAGCTCTAGGGTACAAGTGGAAATTTGTTGGTATAAACTAAGACCATAGAGAACAAACCTTGGTTATAACTGCTTTTGAGCACTTTTTCAGCTATGTAAAGGAGTCTGCTATAAATATTCAAAGAAGTTTCTCTTACATCGAAGAGAAACAGAATGTGTGTGTGTGTGTGTGTGTGTGTGTGATAAGAGACAAGAGTGATAAAAGTAAAGAGGAGGAAGAAGTGAAAATTTGGAGAATGTAATGATGGAGATGCATAGATGCATGGAGAGAAAGTTAATAAGTAAATAGGGGAAGTTACAAAGGTTTCACCAGATAGGAAAAACAATTCCTAGTCTACAGGGAATAAATCCTAAAAACTACATAAAAATAAACAGCATTGCAGAAAAGGAAGCAAATTACAGCTGGAGAAAAGGTCTTAGTGAATGGCTTCCCTGAAATAAACAGATGACAGAATATGATGTTGATGACTTAAACATTTTGCATAAAGGCTGAAAAAAATTCATTAAGAGGATATTAGAACCAAAAGAAGCAGAAGTACAAGGATGTGGCCATTTAGCACAGCTTATAGCCACAACAAGGGATAACTTTTCAAGAAGATGTGAGTACCAAAACATGTGATTTTTGAGAATTTTCCCTAAGCACCTTCACTGGGCACCATCAATCCTGCAACTGTTACTTCTGCCTTTGTTCTCTTGGTGGCTTGCCACCTGATCCACCTGATCCACCTGCTCCAGGGAAGGTCATTTCATATTTCCATGGTCATCCCATCTGCAAAACAGGGACAAAGCTATCTTTGCCACTTGTCTAACACAGGTATTTTAAGAGGTAAATAGATCATACTTGTAAGAAATTTTAGATCCCGATATAAAATACACCATTAATAAGAAGTCTTTGATTTTAACACAGATGAGTTTTGTAATAAGATTTTTTGGTTTGCTACCGATGTGAAAGCAAGACTGCAAATTTCCCATGGTTTTTATTTTCTGTCTTAGAAATAATGTATTGTAACTATTGTTATTAGAGATTGGCCATATTAGAGAGTAAAAGAAATCACACATCAGGGTGAAGTCATTAGAAAGGTAAATACAGATAGATAGATAGATAGATAGATAGATAGATAGATAATGTATACCATATAATATATAATTAATATACATTATATAATGTAGATAATATATAATTATATATATTATGTATTTTCTAAAAGACAGGAATATATACATATTTAGAGAGAGTACATAGTATATAGTATATATGTAGTATATACTAAATACATAGTGTATACTATAGCATATACTAAATACATAGTGTATACTATAGTATATACTAAATGTAATTGTGGTTTTTGCCATTAAAAGCAATGGCAAAATCCCAATTACTTTTGCACCAGCCTAATAGGATATAGTACGTAATACATACAGTGCATATATATATACAGTGACAAAGTTTTACTATTTTTCTTGACTCTTAATGAAGGGAGGAGGGAGCTTGTTGATATTACCTATTAATACTACTTCTTAAAACCTATACATATGTAACCATTTAATCGCTCATGAGTGATTAAACATAAACATGGTGACAGAAACCATGCCAAACATTTTAATTTGTAAATCAATGAGATAAAAGGCTATTGATTAAGAAAATTAAAAAAATTAAATATATGCCTGGAATCAGACTGCCCATATTTAAACTTTGCTTGCATTGCTTACTAGCTGTGTGCTTCCCTGTGCCTTAGTTGCTCATTTGAGAATACTGTTAATACTTCATTAGGTTGCTGTGAGGATTGGATAAGCCAGTATCTGCAAAGATCCTAGAACAATTTCTGTTACATAGTAAAGACCATATACAAATGTTTGTTCAAAATTTTCTTAGCATGCAGAGTTGCATGCTAAGAAAATATGATCTCTGGCATAACTTTTCTCATCTCTTTTATGCCACTAATTCCTTATTTGTATATATAACTTCTCTTCACTATATGAAACATTGAATCTAGGAATTCACTAGAATTTTAAAAAAAAATCTTTCCTTTTATTGACTTTCACTGAACACATGGGATAAAAGCTATATGGTTTGTCACTGATTTTCCTCTTCTCCAGTTTGTCTTCCTGTTTTTGGTAAAATCCTAGGAACATGCCAAGCTATTTCCTAGATCTGAGGTTTTTTTCCCCCTAAAATGCATTATTTTGCAATGCATCTATCTCTATTCCAGTTATTTAAATTCTATCCAGTAAGGTTCAGTTCAAATATCATTTATTCCATGAGGACTTTCTAAGAAGACTAGCACTTATTTTTCATACCACATAAATTTGCTATCTTTGCTATTATTTCATGTTTTTTCGTTTTGCTTTTCTAAGTAGATTATAAATTACTTAAGGAAAAGGATAACCTCCCTTTATTTGGTTCTCCACAGCACACCATAGTATCCTAATGAATTCTTATTGTCTCATCCTCACAGTCACTAAAATGAGATAACATCATTCCTTATTCCTTTTAAGTAAAAGTAAAATAATTAGACCATTAATTCCTGATATATGTATTAGATGGACATATGTAATTTTCAAAATATATGTGATAAAATAAGAGAATTCAGGTGAAAAATGTCTTTGTGCTTAAACACACAGAAAGTGATGCAAACTTCATAAATTGTTAGTTGAATTTGACGCCAATTAGTACAGTTTGCAAGGTAGAAAAATTTGTAATCATTTTTTCCTCAAGCAAATATGAATCTGCCTTCGACCATATAGCTCTCCAGAGAAGCCTCCCCAGTAGGGAATTTGAAATTAGAGTGATTGCCTGTCACTAGGTCTCCCAGGGTGTAGACTTCGAATTCAAACGTGAGTCTGTTCTTTACCAAAATGCCTTAGGGACTATTCAGGTCCTTTCCTCATAGACAGCTAAATGTCTTTAGTCATATTTGCCATGACATCCAATGTGACAATTCAAATACTGTATAAACTACCAATGTGTGTACCACAATACAAGCAGAAGGTAAGAAAAGGTTGCTCATATATTATGAAATGACTTAGTTTCAATGGAAATGTAAGTGAATATATCTGTTCCATGCTGTGAAAAAAACTGAGGGGCATTTGGTAATTCTGCCTAAAGAAGAAGGTAGAAAAATTAAAATGTGTGGAAAATAAGACGTCAAAGAGAAAGCTGAATTTCCATTACAGGCAGCAAAAGACACTGCAGAGAATCCAATGGAAGTTATCTGCCACTGAAAAAAAGTAAAAGGAAAAGGAAAGTGTCTAAGAAGTTTCATAAAATATATATTTATGTTTTTATGGTCTGAAATGAACCAAAAGCAGTGTAGTATTTAGAAATTATACACTTTTTATGGTACTTTAAAAAAAATACAGGCATACTTGGTTTTATTATGCCTTACAGATACTACAATGTTTACAAATGGAAGGTTTGTGACAACCCTGTGTCAAGCAAGGCTATTGGCACAATTTTTCCATAGCATGTGCTCATTTTGTATCTCTGCGTTACATTTTAGTAATTTGGTCAATATTTCAAATTTTTCATTATTATTTTATCTGTTATGATGATCTGTGACCAGTGATCTTTGATGTTACTATTGTAATTGTTTTGAGGCACCACAAACCACACCCATATAAGACTGTGAACTTAATCCGTAAGTGCTGTGTATGTTCTCATTGCTCCACCCACCAGCAGTTCTCTCTGTTCCTCAGACCTTCCTATTCCTTGAGACACAACAATATTGAAATGCGGCCAAGTAATAATCCTACAATGGCCTCTAAGTACTCAAGTGAAAGAAAGAGTCACTCTAAATGAAAAGCTAGAAATAGCTAAGCTTTGTGAGCAATTCAGGTAAAAAGCTGAGATAGTCTGAAAACGAGGCCTCTTGTGCCAGTTAGCCAAGTTGTGAATGCAAAAGAAAAGTTCTTGAAGGAGATTAAAAGTGCTACTCCAGTGAGCACATAAATGAAAAGAAAGTAAAACAGCCTTATTGCTGATAGGGAAAAAGTTTTAGTGGTCTAGATAGAAGATCAAACCAGCCACAACATTCCCTCAAGCCAAACCTAATTCAGAGGAAGGCCCTAACTCATTTTAATTCTATGAAGGCTAAGAGAGGTGAGGAAGCTGCAGAAGAAATGTTGGACACTAACAGAGGTTGGTTCATGAGGTTTAAGGAAAGACACCATCTCCATAACATAAAAGTGCAAGGTGAAGCAGCAAGTGCTGATGGAGAAGCTGCAGCAAGTTCTCCAGAAGATCTAGCTAAGATCATTGATAAAGGTGGCCACACGAAATAACAGATTTTTCAGTGTAGACAAAACAGCCCTCTATTGGAAAAAAAAAAATGCCATCTAGGACTTTCATGGCTAGAGAGGAGAAGTCAATGCCTAGCTTCAAAGCTTCAAAGGAACGGCTGACCCTCTTGTGAGAGGCTAAAGCTGTTGATGACGTTGAGTTGAAGCCAGTGCTCATTTCCTATCCTGAAAATCCTAGGGCCCTTAAGAATTATGCTAACTCTACTCTGCCTGTGCTCTATCAGTGGAACAACAAAGCCTGGATGACAGTTTATCTGTTTACAGCACAGTTTACTATATATTTTAAGCCCATTGTGGGGACCTATGGCTCAGAATAAAAGATTCCTTTCAAAATATTACTGCTCGTTGACAATGCACTGGGTCACCCAAGAGCTCTGATGGAGATGTACAAGGAGATTACTACTGTTTTCATGCCTATTAACACAACATTCATTCTGTGGCCCATGGATCAAGGTGTAATCTTGACTTTCAAGTTGTCTTATTTAAGAAATACATTTTGTACGGCTATAGCTGCCATAGATAGTGATTCCTCTGATGGATCTGGACAAAGTCCATTGAAAACCTTCTGAAAAGGCTTCACCATTCTAGATGCCATTAACAACATTTGAAATTCATAGGAGGAGATCAAAATATCAACATTAACAGGAGTTTGGAAGAAGTTGATTCCAACCCTTATGGATGACTGAGGGGTTCAACACTTCAGTGGAGGAAGTAATAGCAGATGTGGTGGAAATAGCAAGAGAACTAGAATTGGAGGTAGAGCCTGAAGATGTGACAGAGTTGCTGCAATCGCAAGATAAAACTTGAACAAATGATGTGTTCCTTCTGAAGAATAAGCAAAGATAGTAGTTTCTTGAGATGGAATTTACTGCTGTTGAGAATGCTGTGAACACTGTTGAAATGACAGCAAAGGATTTAGAATATTACATAAGCTTAGTTGATAAAGCAGCGGCAGGGTTTGAGAGGATTAACTCCAATTTTGAAAGAAGTTCTACTGTGGGTAAAATGCTATCAAACGGCATTGTATGGTACAGAGAAATCCTTTGTGAAAGAGCCAATTAATGTGGCAAACTTCATTGCCTTATTTTAAGAAATTGCCGCAGCCACCCCAACTTTCAGCAACCACCACCCAGATTAGTCGGTAGCCATCAACACTGAGGCAAGACCTTCACCAGCAAAAAGATTATGACTTGCTGAAGGCTCAGATGATCTTTAGGATCTTTTTGCAATAAAATTTTTTTAAATTAAGTACATTTTTAGACATAATGCTATTGCACACTTAACAGCCTACAGTATAGTGTAAACGCAACTTTTATATGCACTGCGAAACCAAAAGATTCACGTGACTTGCTTTATTATGATATTTGCCTTATTATGGTGGTATGGACCTGAACTTGCAATATCTCTTAGGTATGCCTGTATTATATTTACCCATGAGTTTGTTCTTTTAGCCTGTGAAATTAAGTCTTAAAATTCTGATTTTGTCCAATTGCTTATAGGCAAAGTCAATTACTAATTGAAGTAATCTTTGATTTTTTTCACCAAAGAGAAAATACTGAAGTTGGAATGGACCTGAGAGACACTGAGTCCACCCCCCTCACTTTACAGATGAAGAAAATGAGGCCTGAGAGGATAAGAATAATTGCCCGAGGGGAATCTGGCCTCCTTCTCCAGGGCTTTATCACATGGCTTCTCAATCTTCCTTTGCTAACACTGGTCTTTAGTGAAGCTTAAAAATAAGATCAAAGAAAGCTCAAAGGGGGATCTATAGAATAAAATAACATAAACTGGGGCACTGAGATGAGGTCCATCCATTCCCTTCAAGGGAAATTAACATATAGAGATCTGAGCCTCTTTGGCCTTTGTCTTTTCCTGAGGAAGCTTCAAGATCAGTTAACTCTGTATACCTATGAGAGTGGGACTGAATCATGGCGAAGCTATTAGTGACAACCAAGCTTCTTTATTAAAAATCCATTTTGGTGTATGTGTGTGTGTATGCATTTAAAAGCATTAATTCATTTTATAAAAAGGTCCGTGTGAATCTATTTATGTTTCAAGGCCAAACATGAAG
Source organism: Homo sapiens (assembly GCF_000001405.40). Lineage (NCBI taxonomy): Eukaryota > Metazoa > Chordata > Mammalia > Primates > Hominidae > Homo > Homo sapiens. The sequence goes on along the minus strand of NC_000014.9, from coordinate 32,711,420 downwards.
TGTAGGGTTCAATGAACAATTTCAGAGCAGTCAAGCCGCCAGAGAAGTGCCTGTGAGCACAGTGACAACCACAGTTGAAAGAAATGTATAGGATCCACTTTCTGATTTTCTTTGGTTACCAGAAGCACAACAGAGTATAGGAGGCCACCTGGTGGTGACATGAACCAATTAATCATTTAATGTTACACTGAAAAGCAAGCAAAACAGAGTTTGGGTTGTTACAAAAGGAAAATTAGAACCTGGGGCAAGAGGATCATAATCAACAGATATTACTGCAATATAGCAGATAGAAAATTGAATTGGGAAACCATTCAAGTCTGTACAATAATGGATATTCCTAAAGCGTTGCCATAATAGTTATTATTTATACCAGGGATTAGCGAACATTTTCTGTAAGGAGGCAGATAGTAAATAGTTTAGGCATGCTGGCCACATGGTCACTGTTCATGCTACTCAACTCTACCATTGCGTAAAAGCAGATATAGATATTTCATAAATGAATGTGCCTGGCAGTGTTCCAACAAAACTTTCTTTTAAAAATGAGTGGTAGGCTGCATGTGACCTGCAGGTCATAGTTGTCAGCCCCGATTCTGTTTTATCTTTTGAGCACATACTATTTACCAAGGACCAGGTGAAGCCCCTATATACATTACTTCATAGAATCCTAACAACAATCTTTCAAGGTAGGTGTTATTATCCCTACTTCCTACGTTTAACAACGGAAGCCTAAAATGTTTCAATGATCTGGAGGAAAAGGCACTAAGCCTCATTCATTAGAAACGCTTTGTGTAGCGCCATGGCTGTTTTTTTTCGTCTGTGATTGCGCACCCTTGTTCTCAACCTCCCTCCCATTTATCTTGCAGAGGCTGCTTTCGGTTTCCCTCAGTAGTGACTCTGCTCCTGTTTCTCCACCTCATGTTCCCTTGAAATGTTGTGTGTCTCTTAACATCTTTTTCTCCATCACTTCTTTTATGTTTAAAAACTTTATGTCAGTTTTCATAACAACAGATGTAAGCAAGCATGAAAAAGAGACAAAAGCAATGTATTAAAAATAGATAGCCACATATACAACAATAAGCCAAGGAAACTGTCATATTGTGTATGCTCCAAATGGAATGTGAGCCAAAAACACAATGCTCACTCCGACATAAATAATATATTACGCATCCACTGGGAGAAGAAGTAGCTCTGTCCCTAAATGGAAGAGGTTTTTTTTTTTTTTTGGGTCCATTTTTTATGTCATGTTCTTTTTCTTTTTAAATTTTTTTAAAGGCATATACTGTAAGTCATACCATCTCAGAAAAGCTACAGTCGTCTTCCAAACCATCCATGAACTATTTTATTAACTGTTAATAAGAGATAGTTGAAAAACCTGATGGAGAAATCCATGGAGCTTGTTAAAGCCTCTCAGATATATGGATTTACCAGCAGTCTTTCAATATTAGCATATTTTCTGCTACAAAAGAGGATGGAAGTGGTTTCAGTTAGATGGAGTGTAGACAAAACTGAAATAAATGACTTAAAAAAATTTTTTTCACCAACCAGTTTTGAGCACCAAAAAATTTTCTAACTTGAAACTGCAAAAGCTTGAGAAATGTGACTATACAGAAAACAGAAGAGCTAGTTACAGAGCATGGATTCTGGCTGATTTGACAATTAATACCACCAACAGAGAGGATTTACACTAGAAATAAGAAGACTTTCAGGAAAGGGAGAGTTAAACATTTTAATGGAAGGCTGTGGAATTCCCTCTGGAAAGATCTTTAATGGAGGACAAATTCTCTCCTATATGGAATGGATAAAAACAATCCTTGAAAGAGAAGGAATGAAATGAAGGTCTTTTCAAGGTACTTGCAGTCCTGGAACACCACTGAAATTCTCACTTTCCATGGAACTAAATAACTGTACAAAATCTCTTAGAGATCAACTTTGGAATATTCAGGAGAAGAATCATTAAGTAGGTGATTCAAATCAGAAAGTATTTACTGAGTGCCAAATATTACCTAGCACTGGGGAGATGTCCACCCCACCAGGGTATAGTTCTGAGCAGCAGTGTGGACAGCAGACGGGGAACACAATTATTCACTTCAGATTAAAAAAAAAAATCGTTGTGCTCCAATGCTCCAATCAGCTTTCTGGAACTATTTCCTGAACTTGGTGAGCTCAAAACTCCCACAAGAGCTGGCTGTCACATGAGATTTCTGGCATTACTCATGGTATCCCTGGATCTTTTTGTAAACAGAAAAGGCTTCTGACAGTGTTTCCATACTTTATTTCTTTTTCTAACCCAAACTTGGACGGATGGAGCCTAGTGAAACTATCATCAAAACTTGGATTATAAGATGCTAGCCAAATTTGAATTCTTTTGCGGTATTTCCAAGTTACAGAAAATATTTCAATTAGCTTAACCCTAGAGACTCATTTATACTTAAGTTAACATGAGGATTTTGGCTCCTGGTTTATAAGACATTACTTCACAGAATGGGTCTTTAGTACCACCAGGCAGATGAGAGTGAGGAAGAGGAGGGAAAAATCATACAGACAGGAATGTTTATCATGCATATTTTCAAACTGCAGCATGTCAGCTGAGGAAAGCTAAGGAGGAAGGACAAAGTTCAGTGGGAAAACAGTAAACCCAAAAGGATGTCAAGGTGGACACAAAGAGGGCCAAGAAGTGAAGTGATTACAAATCTGTCAGATGCTAATTTGAAATGATGCATCTTGTAACATTTTCTTAATTGTTTAAAATCATTAAAGTTCACAATTAATCACTAAGTAAAAAAAAATGACTAATGGCCATATATGATTATTTCTTAAAATTATGAATAGTATAATACTTTTTAAAAATGAAAATGTGGGAGAAAGTTTCAAAAGTGTTTCAGCCCTCTCCTGGTATTAGAGCAGTGACATTTAATTTTTAAATTTCCATATTCTGAATTAGCTAGCTACGGCTTTGGGAAGATAAGTCACTCTTTTACTCTCTCTCTTTCTCTCTCTTGCTCATTCTCTCTCTCTCTCTTTCTCTCACATGTGCACATGTCTCTCCCTCTCATCATAAACTTGGACTAAAGAGCCAGCCCAAGTCTAAGTCCCTTCTTGTTTTCCTCACTCCCTTACTGACGACATTTTCGGAAGCACACACTCATCTGAAGTCGTATCTAATTTTCTGCAATGAATATGTCAATAAACTCTCCTGCCAACTATGGTACAAGTACAAATTGTGCTTCTATACCTACCATTTCTAATTACTGTTGATATTCACCTACATCTATTGTCTGATTTTTAGGTTTCACATTTGCACAGCACATGTTACCTTCACATGTATAAATAATCATACCCGTATGTATCTAAATATTCAAGAATACACCAGAGAATACTATGGTTTGAGAGGCTGGAGACTAGCCATAGAATTATGGTGATTAGTTGTGGATTTCTGTACCATTTATGTCTCAGACATGGGTGTCTTTGTCCTTCCCTTCCTCTCTGCCTTATTCTTTCCCTACTACTTTCTCTTTCTCCCTGATATCAACCTGGCCAAGCCTGAGTACTCTTGGTATTAGGAACTGTCTTTACTGCACTTTGGTTTTGCCAGGAGAGAAATTTTTGTTTTATATATAAAAGAACATAAAGTTTTACATTCAATTATCACAGCATAAAAATAGACTGTTTTGTTGAAAAAGTAATGAATTGATAGCATAGTTCTGATTAATAGAGTTTAATTAACTATTGAATAAGCCTTGTTGAAAATATGTGTTTCAACATATATTTATTGAGTTTCTATTATGTGCCAGGCACTGTGCTTGGCACTGGAGATACATTAATAAATAATCAATAAATAACACGAATCCTCCACGTGGAGTGTGAAGTCTAACAAAAAATATAATCAATCATTCTCAAATTTGGCCTACTAAGTCCATATTTATGATCATTATTTTAAAATATGCATTTAACTAATAAACAAGTATTCACAGCTGAATAATCCCCAAGAAGAACTTTCACAGGGAGGCACTTTTGAGTACTAAAAGGGATAATACTGTTGTAATGAAGGTTGTAAAATCCAGTATGCCAAGATTTGTAACATGGAAATGTGCTCCAGACTGAAACTTGGCATATATGAAGGAATTTTGTACAGTTATTTATATATGCATGATTTAAATGTCTTGGGACTATAGCATATCTGATTCAAGGAATCTGGTTTCATTCAAATTCAATCTTGGTGAAAGATTTTTTTAAATTAAATAAGTTAATACTTTGTATACGTGTATATATGTATACACACATAAATGTATGTGAATAAACACATTTTATGTGTGTGTACTTCCTCCACAGACTTCCCAGTTTTTAAGGCTAAAATGAGATGACAAGGGGGATATTAAAATTCACACATTTTCTTTATGTAAATGTCTATAAGCATATGGAATCAACTACTTAGGAAAGCAGCTGAAATAGTAAGTTTAGATGAGTTTCAGTAGGGTATAGCTATCCTTCTGGAGAAAGGCTAGAGCTCTGTGGTTTGAGAAACTTTAGAAGTGAAATTGAAATCAACCCAAAGGCCATAAGAGCATTAGCCTGGTTGTTTCTTTCCTAGCTTGCATGTGTGTGTAGTGTGTTTGTGTGTTTTGTGTCTTATGTAAATGAATCAAGGTTCAGCAGGAAGACCACTCCTTCCTTCTTTGCTTACCCCAGTGTGCCTCATTAGGGATAGAGTGTCACAGAAGTGCTTAGTTTAAGAATGTATGAGTTTCACAAAAGCCCACATTATTAAAAATATGCTTAGGAAGGCTCTTGTTTCTGAGAACTGAAACTGCTTCCTCAACAGGACTGCAAAATGGTTTTTCTGCAAATGATATTCCTATAGAGCATCTCTCCATGGGGACCCTCCTTTAGTAACTTCCTTTGGCATAACGGGATCCAGGAGGTTGAATCATCTGAGGGCAATGCTGCCTTTAGTGCATCTCCCAAAAAGCATAAATGTTTTCATCCTTAGCTTTCCTGAATCTAACAAAATGCAGGAGGCCCCAGTGAGGCTCAGCATGGCAATACTTGCCCAGGGTATTGAGGTGCTTAAGAACATTTGGGGGCTTTCACAGAACAGCCTGATGATTAGCTAAAGAGCCAACCCAAGTCTATCATCTTTTCTTTGCAGATATACCTTCTAACATTTCTTTCTTCTATCTTAGCACAAAAAGTTCATACAGAGGGAGGAAATAACGTTCTTGCAAGAATCTACCTGTTGTAGAGAAGATGATATGGGGCAACAATGAGCAGGCGAGCAAAAGACCATGAGCATTGGAGCCACCCAGATTGGGTTCAAATCCCAACTTACTTAGTTCTTGTGGTAGTTATTAGCACAGCTCCACAAATATTTCTAGCTTTCTGCATTTCAGGCACATGGTAGGGCTGCATTTCCCCCATCTACTTTGAAGTTGGTTGTGGCCATGCAATTAGTTCTGGCCAAAAAATTTTGAGTGGAACTGACATGTGTTTCTTCCAGGTAGAAGGCTTAATGGCCAGAGTGAGACCCGCTAGAGCTCCCTTTTCTCTCTACCATAGTAAGGGAATATTTAAGACGGTGGCTGTGCCATTAGCCTAAGTCTAAGAGTGAGGACAATGCCAAGCAGAGCCAATAGCCAACATGTGATGGACATGTAGTATGCATGAGAAATAAATCTTTGCAGCTTTAAGCCTCTGAGATTTGGGGCATATTTGTTATCTTGGCATACCCTAGCCTAGCCTGACTAAGGGACAAGTTCTGTGCCTTTTTAGGCTAGCTTCCTAACCTCTTTATGTTTTTGGCTCAGGGTCTATGAATTAAGGAAAATAATCAAGATCCCTGTGAGCATTAAATAAGATAATGTGAATGGGGCACTGACACAATCAAATTTATTAGTAAAATCTTACTATTTGATAAGTTTCTTTCTCCCTCTATCCTACACCCATCTCAATACCAGAAAAACACACTCACATATACATACACATAAACACACTTCTCTTTTTATCAAATGTTGAAGAAGATAACATCTGTTTTTGTTCCCTTTTCTGGATTTCTTCTCTCTACCCACTCTCTTCCCTTCCCAATGCCTTTCTATTTTAGCTAGATATTAAAATTGATATTTAATTCAATATCATTCTCCTGCGCCTTCCCCACAGAATATCTGCATTCAGTAGAGTGCATTCTTCTTTACCCCAAAGAAATGAATCTTAAGAATGGGATTAAAGGCAGTATGGTCAGTTGGTAATGCAGCTAGCTGGGTTGGAGAATTCCCTAATACTCCAAATTGATATCCCTAGGACAACCACAAATGTGCTTCTTTCCAAAGTTAGACAATGTTATGAGATACGGACATAAAGGAAGTTAATGAGTTTAATGTGAAAGCACTATGGGAAAACTTTTCCCTTGCGCCTTACCATCTATTCTGAACAGGTACCAGGACTTCTTTTGAAATAACTGAAACGTTACCTAGGTACCTTTTAGCCCCACATTCCTGCTTTAGGAATACATTCAAGAAGTTCTAATAAACTATAAAAACTAGAACGATGATAAAAGACAAATTATTTAGACCAAATAGCATATGTACCTTATACATTTCCTTGTGGTTATAATTATGATAACCAATGCCTTCCTGATGTAATTACATGGAACATTAAGCCTATCATTTATCTTTTTTATATTAATACCTCTTTGTCAATGATAATATTTGGTTTTCATCTTTAAATTTTGATACTCTTTTTTTAAACAAAATAAATAACCCCATTCATACCATAGCTGTCTGTAAAGTTTAATCATACATCATATAATTTTTTGCCAGCCTCAAACCAGATTAGCCCCAATATGAATATAACCACTAAAGATAAGTAATTTAAAAACAGGACATACTAAAAAGTAGGTGAGGGTCACTGCTATGAAGTCACTAACCTGAAACATATACATAGTTTTGAGTAGTTCAGGAGCCAAAGATGGCAGTGATCCAAAAACCTTTTCTTATCAGAAATTTAAATGTTCCTCTACTTTCTTTTCTAGAAACTAGAAAGAAATCTACAAATATCTGGGGCTAAAGCAAAAGCTATCAGCTTAACAAAAGAGGGAATACTACGCATTCCCATCTAATTAAGTAAAAGTCATTTTTCAAAAAATTAAAGGCTGAAATTTTTTGCAACTTAATCCAAAATTTTATTAGCAAACTCTAATTATTATCCTGATTGGAAGTAATAAAATCTCCCAAACAGGTCAACTAATTTAAGTGCTATCTGTAATCATTTGGATTTTAACATGATGGTTATTACTTATTACCCTGAAACCAAGCAGCACAATGAGATATTGATTACTTTTAACCTTTAGATCCAAGGATTCAAGAAAGGTCAGAGGAGGGGAATACTCTACCTCTCTTGGCTGGCAAACGGATAGCCTTCAGGAGAATTCAAATGATTCCCGTTGGCCAAGTACATCCAAGATTAGTTTATTCTCTAGGCTAACAAGAAATGATGATACTTTAAAAAATAACACTCAGCACATATTTAGTGAGCATTACATTTACATAACCAACGGCCTCAGATGTGCTTCACATCACAGCAAGTCTCAGACTGTTAACCCTTTACCAAGTTTTGTCTGTGGAAGCCTCTTTACTGAAATGAGATAGTAAATATAGGAGCATTTATTGGAATAAACTTATCTCATTGAACTCAGAGTTCTTAGTAGATTCCAAAAGGCTGAATACAATCATTGGCCACTGTTGGCCACTAGCATTTCTTTTGGTTTTCTTTTTCCGTGACAGCATTTAGAAATATTTTTCACATTTGTGCTGCTAAAAGCATGAGTTCTAGGTAGGGTCCAGCAGAATTACAGGCAAGAGAAACATAACTGTTATGTGTTAGATTAATTTGCAGAACACTTGGCATTATTATTGCCAAGTCGTCAAATTGTTCCAAGTTGTTCCGGAAGGTTGTTATTAATAGTATGTTTTCTGAGGAAAGTTCTGTCTACTTTTGGAACTGCATTTCTGTTGCCAAGGAAACTCCTTTAAGCACAGTTTTCTAGGAGCACACTGCTGCTTTTGTTTGCCAGTGTCCTATTCATATCATCTAAGTAAGCGTTTTACGTGCTCCAGCCTTCAGTCCCAAATGTTGAAGTTTTAGCCCATTTAAGTTGCTTTTTCAAACATAGCTAATGCCTGCTATGATTTCCCTCTCTCCCTTTCTCTCCCCTCACTCTCCACTCTCCATCCAAGCCCCCCTCTCCCCGCCTTCTTCCCACTCTGCCTCCAACATGCCCAACTCTTACTATTCAAGTTTTATTTTTTTAAACAGTTGCATTAGGGCAGATAGTTTTCACAAGTTTTTGATAAATTAACTTCAATTTGAATAATAATTCCATAGGTTGTAGCATTAGTCCTTCAAGTGTTAATTATCTTTTCACTCTAAAATTAATGTACTCATTTCCTACTGACTCCTGTACCCCATTTATTGAAGTGCTGAGGAAAACATGTCATTGAGTCCTGAGCCAGCCCTGTTGTGATTAAGCGTGGTCACATGGCCCATCTCTGCCAAAAGGAGGGCCCTGAGAAAAGGTGACAAAGACAGTGATTTCCTGTCAGCAAAGAGTACGACAGGGCTGTCTAGAAGTGATGCAAATGAGGGGAACTTTCCCCACGGCTCGTTTGATCCACTCTAGGCCAGAGCCAGCCAGGCCAGGGAGAGAGGGAGCAGCACAATGCCTCAGAGGCCAGCCCAGAGAGCCAACGCACCTTCCGGACAGTAGCTCACCCGCTAGAGACAAAAACTGCTGGCGGGGCTTCCCTTCCTTGCCCCTCCACACACACAGCCAACTATTTCTTGGCATCCTATTCTCTTAACATCTTTTTTTTTTTCTTTTTAAAGAAGTGATTCAAATAGGAATTACAGGCTCCAGCATGAACAGTGTTTCAAACATTGTTGAGAAACCACATTCATCTACTTTTTCTTCCCCTAAACATTTTCAGGATAAGTTTTGCCCTCTCTCAAAAAAAGAAAAAAAAAAGGAAAAAAAATATATTCAAGTATTCATAGCAAACACTGATTCATCAAAGCTCAAATTAATATGACAGTTAATCTAAGGACTTTTCAAACTTTAATAAAAATGAAACAACAAATTCATTTCTAGATAAGCAGTGGAGACAGTCTAGATCTTTCCATTCTGATCACTTTTTAAATGACTAGATAATGTTATTTGAAATATTATAATGAATTTAAGCATATTCTTCTTATCTTAATGGAGTTTTAATCTAACATACTATTAAGCTATACAATTAATCTACCAGGAAAAGAGGTAAAAAATTACCATTAAATTCTTGTGCCTGATATATCTAGAACATTTTTACCTTGACTGCTTCAATAACTGTAATTTGTTTCATTTTGAACATCAGGGTAGAGATGTAACATTCAACACTGAAATTCCAATATAAGGCCTAATTAACAGAATTTAATTTTTTGACTCGTCCTTCTATTCTGTACACCACCATGTGAATTTTTTTTTAAAAAGTTAATGAATTGTCTTCTATTTCAAGTTTAGCTACTGTGACCTGGACCATGAACCAACCTAACATTACACTTTTAGGGGCTCAAGTTTAGTCATAAGAATATCAAATCACATCGGAAATTAGTTAGATCAATTTGGTCCAGAACAAAATAAAAGAGAGCTATTCCAGAAAGCTGAAATGTGTGAATTTATGAAATACAGGAATAGTGTGATTAATCTGTTTTCTGAGATTAGTTCATATCTATGACATCATTTTGATATCAATAGTTATAAAATAGCAAGTCAACTATGTTCCATACTTCTTCTTGTACTCTATATTTCCTATTCCTCAGAATTTCTAATTCTATTCCACACGTATTTATATTTAATAATTATTATGGTTAGAAATTTATTTACCATACCATTCTAAGCCCTTGTATTTTAAAAAAATCCTAAAAGAAAATGTTTTCACATCTAAGTATCAAAACAAAATTTCTTCAAAGGAAGTATTATCTCTTTTTCTTATAGAAAGTATACATTTTGCAACTGGACACATTTCCCTCTTTGCTTTCACTACCAGGAAACTCAAAATATAACATTGGGATCATGTTTTAGTAACTGTGTAGGGCTTTGCAGTTTATATACAGGCATATTAACTCTTCTTACAGATGCAACTTCTAGTCTATGTATATTTTCTCCAGTCTGATTTGTATTTATGTTTTTAAAATATTTATATTATTTTCATGTTGATTCTTATAAATAACCCCAAATTCATAGCAGGGTAAAAATGTAATTGATCTGTTTAGTAGCCATTGTATTATATAAATGAATGGTCCTTTTCCTTTTACACAGAGGACATGTTTGGACTTATATGAATGAAGCCATATGAGTAACTAACCTACAAAATTAAGTACAAAATCTTTAGTATAAATTCTCTGAAAGTACAAAGATCTCAGTTGAATTGGATACTTATTTAGTAGTATTTTTAAGCTGGAAGAGTTATTTTTAACCCTTTATAAATCATGTACAAATCATGTTGCTTAACAACGGGGTATGTTCTGAGAAATGTATATCCCTGCTATAATCTCTCCCTTTCTCCCCACCTCACTTTCTGGTCTCCATTCAAGCAGTGTTTCATGATTTTGTCACTGTGTGAACATCCTAGAGTGTACTTAGATAAACCTAGATGATAGAGTAGATGGTAGAGACTATTACACATCTTGGCTATACGGTAGAGCCTATTGCTCCTAGGCTACAAACCTGTACAGCATGTTACTATACTGAATACTGTAGGCAACCGTAACACAATGGTAAGTATTTGTGTACATAAATATAGAAAAGGTATAGTAAAAATATAGTATTATAATCTTATGGGATAACCATTGCATATGTAGTCCTTCAAAGGCCAAAAATCTTGTTATGCAGCCCATGACTATAATCTAATATTTTATTGATGAGGAGCAGGTAAGCTATCGTTCAAGGAACAAATATATAAGTGGGGTGTTTCAGTGAGCTTCATACTATCTGAAAACTCTTGTTTAATTATAACAATAATCACCAGGCTGCAACTTCTGAATTTGGCCCTTGAAATTAACCCTTGGAGTCTGGAATTCCAGACCAACTTCGGATCACTAGGAGATCTGTCATCTGTGCTCTGTAGGTAGCAGCGAACTGGCAGTCCTTTGTGCATAGGTAAGGAGCCTCTGATAGGGCACACCCTCACCATACTACAATGTCAGCTGTACCTGCTGGGGAGGACAGTGCAGCAGCAACAGCAGCAGTCTGAGCTATAACTCTCTAAACGTTGAAATGCTTCTAGGTCACTCAGTCTATAACACTTAGAGAATGGGGGAGGAGGTGTCATGAGCTTCCCCAAGCCCAAGAATAATGCCACCTTTGATCTGTAGAAATGAAAAAATGGAGCTTTTCCTTCACAAGTGGGTTTTAAATATTTCTCCATTAATAGTTAATGCACATGCAGACCAGCAGAGTGACAGCTCCCTGTGATTATGAATTCTGGCGTCGTAACTCTAGTCCAAATAGGAGCTGAACTTTCAAAATCATAGTGGTTACTTTTGACAAATTAAATTGTCCTACTTAGGAAGAGAGGAGGAATGACGAGAAAGAAAGTGAGAGAGTGGGTGCAAATTCTCCTTCGAGGTAATTCTCAGGTTGAGGAAGAAAAAATGAGAAAAGACTACATTTGTGTTTTCTAGGCTGACGATATTGCCAATGTTCATTAGAAAATAGATATAGAAGGCTCCTATTCAGAGGTAGAGCAAGACAGATAAGGGGGAAGGGAAGTCATTGGCAGTATAACTCACTGTCTCAAAACAAAGAAGAAAGTACATTTAAGGGAATGGTTAGTTTTTAATAGGAATTAGGTTGCTCTTGAGACTGCAGTTTAAAATTAACTCAAAAAATGATCTTAAATTTCTAACAATATAAAAATAACAAGAAATAGTTCAAATAGAAAGTCCACTTTATAGCCCATTGCAGTATTAATTAAGGTTTCTGAATGATGTTAAGTTGTACTAATGTAGTCTTTGCCCATTAAATCCAATTATTTGTCTTTATAAATTCCTTGTGTATTTTGCTGGCTTTGGATTAGCCTAAATATCACAATAGATGCTGTACTCAGGATATCTGCTGAGTGGATAGTCTAGGGTTTCTGTATTTCATACAATCTGTAGTTTCATGTTTAGGAGGTAAGGCTAGCTGATTTTCTAGTGCAAATCAGGATATAAAAATATATAGGTAAAGTCAGGAAGGTAATGCCTAATGTTGAAAAAGCTAAATAAGCTTCACTCTCACTGACTAGCATCTTATTAGATTTTATCTAACCTGACATTTCTAAACACATACCTTGGGGATCAACCTAGGACTTCATAAGTGCATGAGTCAGGGTTTGGGCATAAATACTCCAGGAAAGGGGTTGAGTGATGAAATACAGAGAGACACCCAGGGAGAGAAGAACAAAGGTTTTAAATGCTCTAATAGAAGGAATAAAGATTCGGTCCTGCTCTACAGTTTCCTAGGATTTTTGCCATCACTCAGCTGAAGATCTCCCTTAGAAGTTTCACCTCATCCTTTTCGTTAATACTAGGGATGATGAGCTTCATTTTCATCCTTGATTTTTAAACTCACAACTGTTGGTTCAATATCAGCTATATAAAGTGTTTGTTCAATAACGTTTACAGTACAAGTTTAAGGCATTTTCCTTGTTGTTATATAAGTATTTTAAGAAACAAAGATGGTATAGATATGTTGAGATGGACTGGGAAATGCTGTAAAATGGGTTGGGAGGTCTCGTTGAGTTGTCACAATGAGTGGGGAACATGAAGAGTAAATGTTCTGTAGTGTAAAAGACAGGCCCACAAACTAAAAAAAAATTGTTTCGCCCTAAATGTCAATGGTGCCCTTAATAAAAAAGGTTAATAAAGCACTGGTATCTTTTGGGGTCAACAAATACAAAGATTAGAGATAAATAAGGTAGTCTCAAATTGTATTTAAAACCTGGCAAGGCCTGGGCACCAATTGAAAAGCTTTACTCCTTCAGGGGTCTCTATGATCAACAGACCATAAATACCCCTTTCTCAAGGCATCAGTTCAGTTGATTCCTGGAAAAGCAGATTAGAACAGAGGAATAGGATATTGAAAATGTTGACTTAACCTGGAAATCCCTGAGGATTCTTGAGAAGACATGAAATTAATTCTTCTCATCAATTTTTCTAATTTAGGAGCCACCTGAAGTTCTACATGACTCCTCAGTCAATATCCTCAGGGTTATTCTGGAGGCTTCCAAGCCTCTGGAATAATTTGGGAGTGCACATAAAGAAAGACCCTACAGACTAGCAGCATTTTCTACTGGTTTCTAACTCAATCTTTAATTTTGCTTATAAGCCAAATGTAAAGTTAGTGCTGGTCTAATGAGCAGAGCTATGTTAAGCACCTAAAAGCAGAAGAATGGTGACAGGACGTGAGTCACAAATGAAAAATCACAGTACAGAAAATGTTTGGAAAAATACTATAACCCAGAAGTTCTGAGTGGGTGGAATAATGGCCTTCAATATGCCAGAATGGGAATTTTCAGGCAAAGCACTTATAAGGAAACTGCAAGAAAAAAGAAGACTGCATTTTTGTTCAATGATTTCCTATTAATTGTGATGTAAATTATATGAATGTGATTTTGACAAAGAATAGCACTGTTTCTGAAAAAATAGTGGCTTATGTGCAAAATAAAAAATGCATCAAGAAGAAAAGAAATATTATTTGGCATCATGAGTGCAATAAAGTCCGAGATAATGGCTTATGGTTAGGTAACCTTTTATATTTTTCCCATTTGGCTCAATTCTTAATACTTAAGTCTTAGGGATAAAATATTTTTCTATCACTAAATTAATAGAGATTTATATGCACGTTTTCATATGTAATTCCTGATCCTGATGTGAAATGTGAAGTCATCTAGTTTTTGTTAAATTAGGTTGAGACTGTTACTGTAACAATATGTTATGCCAGAAGATATATTAGATAGCTGTGTTGTTAATGTGGACAGCTACCCATACAGGAAACAGCTAACAGTCAACAAACTCAATTAAGGTTGGACTGCATTCTTTAGAGAATAAAATGTCCCCATTTGCTGGGTCCCTGGGGAGCTTATATCTTCTCTTAACTGAGATGATTCCTAGGGGACACTAATTAAAGTCAACCAGACCCTTGAAAAGTACAAATATCTCTCTTTAGAGGAGGTAAAAGTTAAAATCATTTATTAAAGAACGGTAATTTAAAATGATACCATTGAAGAAGAAAGAAGGCAACTTTTATTTGACCTTGAATGTACTTCTTATTCTATAAGAAATTTTTAAAAACTAGAAGGTAGTTGTTTCTTGTCATTATACTGTTGCTGATTCTGTGGTTAGTTATTAATTTTATTTTTTATGATTCACAATCTGCTCTTTGAAATATGCCATATGCTCAAAGCAATTCAAGGATGACAACTGTCAGAATTACTCCAATAAAAATTGCCTAAATGAGGAAGATTTACTGCAGTCTGATATTTCAGTGGAAAGTCCCTCTTCCCTCCCCCTGACAGCTTTTGCAGGCACTGTGAATCCTGCAACCATTTTTTTTTTTTTTAGGCAAAATCACATGATTGCTTTATAAGAACTGCTAAGACTATTTAAGTAGAATTGGTAAAATACAGTAGGTTAAGGGTGAATTAGCAAACATGGAAAACAATATAGATAGTTATTAGATGGATTGCCTACAATCAATACATGAGTTTCAAGCCAGTTTTCTTAAATCACATGGAAATGTATTGACTTAATATGACAACGTCTGCTCTATGTATCACTAATAAACATTAAATTGGATGAGGCCTGTACTTTGGCAGCAGCAAGCCAAACCAAAGGCAAATTTCTTTTTTCCCTGGGAAGATCTGAGGGGTAGATAGAATCCACCTGAGTGCTCCAATCGTACCACGTTTTGTTAAACATTACTAGTCCATTTATCCTTCATTTTGTTTCAGTCTATTTATGAATGCAGTTTCATTTATTGCTATTCATCTTGAAGATAAATCTTTGTCCTTCTATAGAATTACAGCAAATAGAATGTGATAAAGGGAACTTTCTTGCAATTATGATGTCGGTGCAGCCTGTCAGCACACAAGGGATGGAAATGAGTTTGGGGACAGGGAAGGGAATTCTAATAGACACCATGATACATACAATGAACGAAAAGATATCCTGAGAGAGAGAGAGAGACTTGTCAGGCTAATCAGATCTTCCACAGCAAGGTAAAGGCAGGAAGGGTAGCTCTAACCTTGTAAAGATGCTGCTGCTGCTCCTCTGACATCATCAGGTCGTGGCTGTCCATCACAAGGGACTCCATGTCAATCAGCCAATCCCAGAGCTCCTGATATTCTGAATCAAAGTCCAGAAGCCTGAAGATAAGGCGCAAAATGTAGTATGCATAAATACAGTGTAGTTGTTAAAATCTTATATTAGAATAATATATTCTTGAAAACCCATGATGTTTCTAGTGTTATCTACAATAAGAGAAGAGAAAATTTCTATGTTGTTACACACTGGGCAAAATAGAAACTCAAACCTGCGACACAGCCACCTCTTAGATTGTGAAAACGTAATATGCAATTCCAATGCTCATACCTGAGACACGTTATGGCTATTTCCATTTGCTAACCCTTTCTGAGGATTTGCAGCACTTGAACAAAAAGATCACCACTGCATCCTTAAAAAAGAGCACTGCCATTTAATAGACTGAGAAATAGAGAGTCAGTGACTTGTAGAAGGTTACATGGTCCTGAATTTTGGGTAAGAACAGCACTCTCAAAATTGGAACCCCTTTCCCCTCTACTAGATATTCTACAGATATTACTTCCTAATAGATTTATGATTAAGAATAACAATTTAACTAATTTCTGTATAAGGATCACTATCAGCTCCAAATATATTGATATATACTATCAGATCCAAAATACTGTTTTCACTGGGACATCACTCAATCATTTATCTGTCCCTCTGCTGTCTATCTGCCTATCTCTGCAAACATATATCCTACATTTATTGTTATGGATGAGTAGTCAGCATTTCAGCTTAACACTCAGAGATAGGCTTGAGTGACTCTGGTAAGCCAGTGAGAACCAGTGGCAGATCCAGTATTAGACAGGTGTTCCCCACAGACACGTAGGAAACAAAGGTAAGGACAGGAAGTCAAAACAATGAATCTTTGAATAGCCAGCAATCATTAAAATTCAAAGGAGGATCACTATGGTTTTCAACAAAATAAATCATTAGAATAAGGAGCTTAAAAGGATTAATGTGATTCTCTATTGAAAGCCTGGTGAATAAGTAAAGCCCAGATTCTTCTAAAACACTGTGATCTGAAAATGAAAGTACAGAATGAAAAACTATGACTTTGTCCTTTACCCCTCAAAATCACCCCACTAAAAGAAATCCTACAGTCTTGTGAAATTGTAACTGAGCAAAACCCTATCAGTACTAATGAGGCAGCAGCCTCAGGTATGAATCTGAATTTTTCAGTTGAGTATTTTATTACTACCTGTTCTTGTCTCTGTACATTAAACGACTGCTTTCCGTGAAAATGAAAATCCACTTTTAATAACTTATAATTTAATCTTAATAGATCTGTCAAAAAACTTAAGGTGTGCCTGGTGATGGGGTGGGGGGGAATAGATCTAGGATTGCCTATTTTATTTTAATTACTTTATCATAACTATAAAGATCCTTGATTAGAACTATAAGCACCCAAGGGCAAGCATCAACATTGGCTAACATGTGGAGTTTATTAATAAATGTTTACTGGATGCCAATGACGGTTATAGTTGATGTAGTTAAAACCTTTAGTAAGGCTATGGTGGCCTAGAGCAGTGTTTCTGAAACTACAATGCACATACGGTGAAACTGATCATCTTGTTATGAAGATATTGATTCAGTAACTGTTCTAGGGTGGGGCTTGAGATTCTTCATTTCTAACAAGTGTTGGCAACACTGCTGGTCCATGGACCACGCTTTTTTTTGTTTTTTTTTTTGAGACGGAGTCTCACTCTGTTATCCAGGCTGAAGTGCAGTGGCACAATCTCTGCCTACTGCAAGCTCCGCCTCCCGGGTTCACACCATTCTCCTGCCTCAGCCTCCCGAGTAGCTGGGACTACAGGCGCCCACCACCACGCTCGGCTAATTTTTTGTATTTTTGGTGGAGAAGGGGTTTCACCTTGTTAGCCAGGATGGTGTCGATCTCCTGACCTCATGATCCGCCCACCTCGGCCTCCCAAAGTGCTGGGATTACAGGCATGAGCCACCGCGCCTGGCCCCATGGACCACACTTTCTGAGTAGCAAAGACCTCCAGCATATATGTGAAATCTGAACTAGTATCCCATTTCGAAAGACTAAAACAAAACAAAACCCGACCACTATAAAAGAGACAAATAAAAAATAAACCATCTGGTTTTCTTTATTGACTCTGTGACTAATAAGGAATAACTAATAAACATTTCCTTGAGAGGTATAACCATTTAGAAATACTTCCTGAATTACAGTCCCTATTTCTCTCTCCTTGCACCCTCCTATATTTTAATCATACAGACAGAAAAAGTGGAATGCCACCCACAAAATTAGAAGAGTATCTGATTCAAGGGATTATTAAAGCAAAGGGGAAAGGAAGAGAAAGCTCACCCTTTCCACGTCAGAGGATTTGGAGAATAAAAAATAAGGCAGGAGGAGCAGGTGCTCAGATGTGTGTTCTCCTCTCTCCTGGCCTAAGACCTAGAAAGGAGGCATGTGAGACAGGTTGAGAAAAAAGCCCAAAGCATAAGGATGTCAACTTCATTTCCAGGTCAGAACTCTGCGAGGAAATTGCCTCATATATTGTCCCCACAATAACCTGGAGTGGGGATGTTGTAGACAGAGAGAGATCTTCGGTTAGAATTCTCTTTGCTCTGTTGTTCTCTCATTCTCCCAAGAAGAGACTCCAGGGTTCTTGAGAGGTCAGCTGGTGAACTTGACAGAGGCATTGCCATGACAACAAAGGCACAATGACGGCCTCTCCCCAACAAAAGGAGAGCCAGGTGGGCCTCTCAATCCAGACCACAGAGAGTTGGCAGGGTCAGTGAGGGCTGAGTTGAGGCTTAGTCAGCAAGAAATACCACCGGTCCCTGACCAAGCCAAGAGGTAACAACATAAGCTAGACCAGCTACAGCCCTCTGTGGGAGGAAGCCTCATAATATCCTTGACAAGACCCATTTCAATAAGCCCAGCCAGACTGTACCTAAGCACTGTGTTAAGCCAGGGGACTCCACTGCACCCCAGAATTACAAGATCATGTAAATCCCTATATGCTCAGATGTCATCTTGGAGAAAAGAATGGAGACAAATAGAAAATCTGAAAAACAGAGTATTGATCCCAAGAGAGTATTTCCTAAAGAGAATGTTAATTTATTAGAGAGGCTATAATGTGTCTAAGAGCCTGAACTCTGATCTTAAAGCAAGTATTTTTCTTGCTTTTCTAGGAAAGTGTGAGTGTAGGGTGCCTCATAAAAATGATCAATTGGCAAGACAAAAGAAAGAAGCTTGTTTCTTTTTCATACATGTGCACCACTGAAAAAGAAATTTTGATTATGACTAAGAAATTCAAGGGCAAGAGATAAATTTATTATCTTTGCATCCTCAGTGTCCAGCATAGTCCCTGGTGAATGATGATAAATGAATCTAGATAAAGAAAACAAAAACCTTCAGTGGGGCAAGAATGACTTCAGAAAAGCAGCATGTGTCAGCAGACACAACAGTATCTCATCGCCAAAGACCAATACCAATACAACCAGTGCAACATGAACAGGCTGCTTTACTCATTCTTTACGTGAGATTTTGTTTTTACTATATTAAAATGGTAAATTCACTTACTTAAAATGATTATATGTAGTAGATGTTAAATCAATGTTAATTGCCTTCCCCTTCCTTTCACCTCCTCCTCTTTTTATAGTGAAAGATAAAGGTTTATGAACATGAAAATTATTAATGAATAGTTTTCAAATAAATTAAAAAATATATAAAATAATAAAATGTTCTGAAGCATGGGAATTTTTTCACTGGCTTTTTAGCATGCATTTATATCTATTGAACTGTTTCCTTCTATTATTCTCCTTATCATGGGCCTTCGAACAAAAGTCACTTAAGACTTTTTCTCAAACAGTCTACACTGGAGACCTGCAAGTAGCAAATGAACCTAATACAGATACTCACCCTTTATCCAGTCTAGTTTGTTTTCATCCTAGCTGAGAATATTTAGACTTGATACTTGATTTGTTAGATACAGTAAATGCCTTGGTACCACATTTTGTTTCATTGGTACCCAATGAGCACCAATGTGCTAAACAACAAATTCTCACAAAGTCTCAAAACAGAAGACAAAAACTTTTTTCTTAAAAGTATTTGTGCCTGATTTCAGATTCTTGGCCATGTGTTAATCCACAAGTTGGAAAAGACCTGAGATTTTTCCACATTTAGTGAAATCAAACATATAACAGTGGCAAATCAAAGCCAGGCACAGTGGCTCACACCTGTAATCCCAGCACTTTGGGAGGCCCAGGCAGATAGATCACCTGAGGTCAGGAGTTTGAGACTAGCCTGGCCAACATGGTGAAACCCCGTCTCTATTAAAAATACAAAAATCAGCCAGGCATGGTGGCACATGCTTGTAGACCCAGCTACTTGGGAGGCTGAGGCAGGTGAATTGCTTGAACCCAGGAGGCAAAGGTTGCAGTGAGCTGAGGTCATGGCATTGTACTCCAGCCTGGGCGACACAGCAAGACTCTGTCTCAAAAAAAAACAGTGGCAAATCAGAAATAAATTATTGAATTTCTTTGTAGGTGCTTTTGAAAGATTCTGAAATGACCACAATTTAATGTCCCCAGTATTATAGGAAACTTCTTAAGTAAGGAAAGAGTTCACTTTCTTACATTTATATTAGCTGCAAAGGTGTGTTTTTTGAGTGATTTTATAAAAGACAATGTGCTCCAGGAAAAGCTCCAGCTACTCTGCAGGAAAACAGAGAAGATCATGAACAAATGAATTTATCAAGGGTAGGGGAGAACTAGTTAACAGTTCTATATTCCCTTGGAGAATATGCTGATTCTATCAGCTGAATTCAGAACCAGGATCTTCTCTTGAATTTCTCATGACAACTGCTCTCATCTCTCTCTTTTGAAGGGAGAGAGGTGATTAAAATTGTGGTGAGTAGCTTATAATCTTATAG
Organism: Homo sapiens; assembly: GCF_000001405.40. Classification (NCBI taxonomy): domain Eukaryota; kingdom Metazoa; phylum Chordata; class Mammalia; order Primates; family Hominidae; genus Homo; species Homo sapiens. The sequence goes on along the minus strand of NC_000014.9, from coordinate 32,691,141 downwards.
GAATACAAATATAAGAACTATGAGTCCCTTTTGGAGGGACTTTCCTCATAAAATTTTCTTTGTAATTATGCTTGGGTTTATGTCAATGCATTCACTCTCATTTGTGAGCTCCTAGATGTTAAAAGGCCTGTTAGGATACCATTGTAATACTCTATGAATATGTTACATTTTCTATGAAAGTGTTATAAAGCAAACTCATATATACTCTATGAAAGTGTTATAAAGCAAACATTTAACCAAAATGTATTCTTTTTGATATTTCTTATTTAACTTGCCATACACTTGATCTTAAATGGGTTCACAATAAAGGAGTTGGACATTCTGATGTAGGTAGCTTAATCATGTTATGGGGAGAAAAAGTCTTCTAACTTGAAGTCAGTTTTTCTTAGACAAATATAGAACTATAAATGTATTTGTTTTATAGTTTAAGCATCTAAACAGACAAGGCTATAGAGAAATAGATGTGCGAAATTTTTCTTTAGTGTTTATTTTTAAGTTTGGGTTGAAGCACTATGGGTAATTGCTCTAAGTATTTCATAACATCTTACCCACCATTTTACTTTGCCTTATTTAAGGTTAAAAAAGATTCCAGGGCTTTTATAAATAAAAAAATACTAACAACCTTATTTAGTATCATTTTTCTGCAGATTTGATGGTAATATATTACTTGTGAGGCCAGCATAGTTTAAGAAATAATCCTTCCTCTAAACCCTGATGGGAGTTATATTTGACTAGCTAAGTGTTTGAATACATAAATGCATTCAGCCTTTGGTATTTAAAGTGAGCATCATTAACTCAACATTTCAACTTAAACTTTGCTTAAACGATAAAGTTTCACCCAAGTGAAATCAATGGGAGGTGTGTGTGTGTGAATATATGAGGTTTCAACTGGGCTCACTAAGGAATTTTGATGAAAACAGACAACCAAATTAAGAAATCATCAAAATAGAGCAATTATTGGTTGAAAAAAATATATAACACTAAAAGTCCTCACAGGTTTTCTACTTAAGGCTGAGTAATCGTGTGTGTGTGTGTGTGTGTGTGTGTGTGTGTGTGTGTGTGTGTATTTTGGGGCACTTAAGAATACATCTTTTGTATGCTTAATATTAATTCACACTAGGACATCTAAAAACACCAGACTGGTTCCTGAAATACCACCTGTCTATATTGGGAGTTCTATTAAATGATCCAATTTTCCTAGCTTCTTTAGCATATTGATTCCTTCCCCAAATATTCACTAAGTGTTCGCTGTTCACATTATTTGCCTAGGAAAGTTTGCCTCTGGCTTTCAAAAAAGACACGTAAAGGAGTGGTAACAAAATCTTGCAAAAATATAGTTTAAGTATTTTACTGAAGTAAAATACTAATAATAGATCAGAATTTCCCATCATCCTCTACTCCATGTGTCATATAAGCACAGAAGGGAGATATAATAGTGGTGCCTGTTATATCTCCAACCATAATATCATCAAAGAATAAAATGTAGCTTTCCAGACATGGAATCTGATATGCACAGTTGCATGTACAATCCCTTTCCACTCTAAACATATGAAAGTGTGGACACTAATTTACTATTTTGAATGAAAATTCATGAGCAACTTCCTCATGAGAAAAGCAGCCTGCCTTTGCCATTAATAAATAAAAGGAATATGGAGTTCTTTCTAGCAGTAATTTCCTCAGTTTTTATATATACCTACGTACATGTGAACAGGTCTAAGAAAAATAAAATCAAGCCTACAAACTTGTTAATAACTGGCCCCACTTTCTCGTGGACCATCTGTCCACCAACACCTATTATTGAAATAAAAAGCATAAAGCACCAAGATAATCCATTAAAAATTCTAACCAACGAGATAATCTATAACATTAGAAACATCAGTGTAGATTTCTGGGTGTATTTAGAGGATTCTGTTACACTATCAGGAAGTCAAAGGCTCATCCAAATTTTTAGATAATATGCTGGACTAAGTTCTAGCCAGGGAAACAGAAAACATTCTGAAGAATTTTTAAATCAGTAGTTGGAAGAACAAATGGAAAAATGTACTTCAAAAGACAAAGAGATGATTTTTTTAAAAGATAAACCGTCCTATGTTATCATTTGTGTGTTAAGAGGGGAATGGATCCAAACCTAATGGCACACTGGTGTGAGTTGGGCAGTTCACCATTTCATAAAAGGATTACCCTATTCTAGGCCTCACTAGTTTTCCAAGATGTAATAGGCAATATATCAACAACCTGTAAATAATTGTCTGTTGCCCAATCCTAACAAAAGCCTGGTAGCACAATTAACATGAAAAGTTATCCTTTATTCAGGCTGACCCTACCCAGAGAGTGCTATGCTTGGACTACAAGATTTTAGTTACTTACAGAACTGTTCTTACTGAATTGTGCTTTGACATCACTTCTGCAGCCTACACCAAAAAACTGCTTTGGGGATTTGACTTCTCTTGCACGGGTGTAGTATCACAGACACCTGTCTCTGCCTTAAAGAACTACAGGAGAAATTCCTCTCAGGTCTCAACAGCATAAGAAGTTGTGCGTCATCTGATATAGATTTATTTTTAATCATAGGACACTATGAATTCTCTGATAGATAAAATTTCATTTTATTCTTTGGGTATGGATAGCTCATAGCCAAATCATAGCCCTTCTTGAGGACATACATAACATACACATTTGTTTATTTTCTTACTTTACTTTTTCCTAAATTATTTCAGTCTAATATTTATTCTATTTTACTGTCAATATTTTTGTAAGTTGACTCAGATCCTTTGTTGAAGGAGATAGGGAAATGAATAAAGGAATACATTTTAAAGAAAAGAGCTAACCTCAGTATACTAAAATGAAATAAATCAGATTTGTTTTAGGTGCCTTCTCATTGTCCGTGTCGGCAACTTTCTCCTTTTATCAATAGGTCCCATCAACTCCCCAAAACAGTACAAAAATTGATCATTGTTATCATGAAAGACGTGTGTGTGTGGTGTGTGTGTATATATATACACACTATATTTTATATATATACTATATTATATATTTATGTCTTCATCAGTTGACTACACTGTTAACTTTGAAGTCATACTTCTCCCAAAAGCATGCTTCTCCCTCTCTGGTTTGCCTTTTGTTGGCTCTTGGCATGGATGTCATCAAATTAGCGAAGTCTAGGTCTACAATCGATTTAACGTTATTTCACATTAAAGGGGTGTAATAATATCATGACCCAAGTGAATACATTTCTACTGGTAAGATTTTTTTGTTTGTTTTAGTCCAGAAAGACCTATTTAAATACTTACATAGTGGTCAGAATATCATTTATCCAGGAAGCAGCCAGGCACATTTTAATCCTTTTGACTGTAGCCTACATTGTTACCTTACTATTTAACAGTTCCAGAGCACAAAAAGGGCCTGAATTGAACACTGATCTTCTATTAGACTGAGGTAAGGCAAGAGTCAAGGGAAGGAAGTAGAAATGCTGGATGGAAATAAGATTTCTTTGGGTTGTCTAGTGATTTAATCTATATGTGAGACTGTTATCAACATTGGCACACATAAGAATAGCACATCATTTTATGGCTGGTGTGCACCAAAAAGAAAACACTTTATGTAGCAGTGTTCTAAAAATACCCACCGTGTAGAAATTCAAAATGGTCACAGTGTGTGTGTTTGTAAGAGAGAGAGAAAAAAAAAAAAGAGAAAGAGAGAAAGAGAGAGAGAGAGAGAGAGAGAGAGAGAGAGAGAGAGAGATAGTTAGTATGACAGAGCATGAATATTTTGGCATGCTGCTCAACAGAAAACCAGAAAGATCACCCCATGGCAGGAAATCCAGGGTGATTATATCCCTTCTCATTTGGTTAAAGTCATTTGACATATCGTATTGCTTAATTAATTTAGATAAACAAATTTGGTCTTTAATCAAGTGATATTTTAAATCGTGATTCATTTGTTTTCACTTGTCAATATCACTTCTCTTTGGGGATGTTATATTTGTATATACTTTCACACACATATAGAGGCACTTCTTTTCCTAAAAGAAAATGAACTCCTCTTTCCTGCCAAACTTTTAGCCTATAATCCTATTTTAATTTAAAGTTCATTTTATTCAGCCTGTTGTGCTTGGGATTAACCTGTATATACTGTTTCTATTTGGGAAGAAAATTTATACTAAAGCCTTGCGTGATGAGGGATGAACTATTCCTGTGTTCTCAGATACAAGGCATAAACCTCAACTGTATCTCTATCTGTAGACATTGCCCAATTTCATCCACAGCCAGAGGAAGTCAGGCATACAGCTGATGAGACTGGGGTATCTTCTGGAACTTCACCACAGGAGTGGAAGTCCCTAAAAACTCTCTTGGAATCCTTCTAATTCCAGGAAGCAGAGTCAGAAATCACCTCCATGATCTTCTGCTTCAACAGCATCAAACTATTTGTAGTAAACTTCAACACATTCAGATACTCCCCCTACCTAGTTCCTGTCTTATGGCTGAAATCCTCTCCCTCCCTCTACATATCCCTCTTCTACTTTTTTTATTTATTTTAAAATTTTTATTTTTAATTTTTGTGGGTACATAGTACGTATATATATTTATGGAGTACATGAGATATTATGGTACAGGAGTGCAATAAGTAATAATCACATCATGGAAAATTGGGCATCTATCCTCTCAATATTTAGCCTCTGTGTTACAAACAATCCAATTATACTCTTTTCTTTATTTTAAAATGTACAATAAAGTTATTATTGACTATAGCCCCCCTGTTGTGCTATCAAGCGCTAGGTCTTATTCATTCTCTGTGTTTTATTTTAACCCATTAACCATCTACACCTCCCCAACTCTGATGCTCTACTACCCCTTCCCAGTCTCTAGTAACTGTCCTTCTCTGTCTCCATGATTTCAACTGTTCTGATTTTTAGATCCCAAAAAATAAAGTGAGACCATGCAATGTTTCACTTCTTGTGCCTGGCGAATTTCACTTAACATAATGACCTCCAGCTCCATCACGTCGTTGCAAATGACAGAAGTTCATTCTTTTTTATGGCTGAATAGTACTCTATCATGTATAAGTGCTATATTTTCTTTATACATTCATCTGCTGATGGACACTTAAGTTGCTTCCAAAGCTTGGCTATTGTGAACAATGCTGCAACAAACATGAGAGTAAAGATATTTCTTTCATATACTGATTTCCTGTCTTTGGAGTATATGCCCAGCAGTGGGATTGCTGGATTGTATGGTAGCCCTATTTTTAGCTTTTTGAGGAACCTCCAAACTGTTCTCCATAGTGGTTGTACGAATTTAGATTCCCACCAAGTGTATGAGGGTTCCCTTTGCTTTACATCCTCGCCAGCATTTGTTATTGCCTGACTTGAATAAAAGCCATTTGAACTGCACAGACCTCTTTTTTTTTTTTTTTTTTTTGAGATGGAGTCTCGCTCTGTCGCCCAGGCTGGAGTGCAATGGCATGGATATTGGCTCACTGCAAGCTCCGCCTCCAGGGTTCATGTCATTCTCCTGCCTCAGCCTCCCTAGTAGCTGGGAGTACAGGCGCCCACCACCATGCCTGGCTAATTTTTTGTATGTTTAGTAGAGATGGGGTTTCACCATGTTGGCCAGGATGGTCTCGATCTCCTGACCTCGTGATCCGCCCGCCTCGGCCTCCCAAAGTGCTGGGATTACAGGCATGTAATCCCACCGCACCCGGCCAGACCTCTTCTAATGGCTAAAATCTATGCATCCTTTAAGACAGCTCAGATGTTCCCTCCTCCACTAAGCCTTCTTGACCCCTTTCAGCTAGGCTGGATTAGGTAGCCCTTCTCAGTATTCCCATAACACTCTGTATCTTAAATTTTCCCCTTTCTTAATTAAGTAATTTATTTTTTGAGACATGGTTTCAGTCTGTCTCCCAGGTTGGAGTGCAGTGGCATTATCAAAGCTCACTGCAGCCTCAACCTCCTGGGCTCAAGCAATCCTCCTGCCTCAACCTCCTAGGTGGCTGGGACCATAGATGCAAACCACCATGCCCAGCTACTTAAAAAATTTTTTGTAGGTTTGGTAGGGGGGGGTCTTACTATGTTACCAAGGCTGGTCTTGAACTCCTGGGCTCAAATGATCCTCTTGCTTTGGCCTCCCAAAGTGCTGGGATTACAGGTGTGAGCCACTGTGCCCAGCCCCGCCCATTGTTCTATAAGGATGTATCTAAATGTCTCTCTCTCTCACTACACTGAATACCATAGAGATTAAGTCTTACGTATCTTTTTCATTGCTAGCATCTCATACTACTGTCTGCAACACAGTAGTTGGAAAATAAATATTTCGTTAATGATTTTTCATATTATTTATTGCATTCTAGGTATTTTAGATATTTTCCTACTATTGCATTTCCTTTCTCAAAAAAAAAAACATGAAGTACACTAGGATAATGATTCTCATTTTATAGACTGAGATATCATATCTTGGTGAGGTTAAATGTCCCAATCAAGGTTCCATAGCTAAAAAGTAGCAGAGAGCTAACTTGAATTCTATTCTTAATTTTTAATCTAGTTTCTCTCTCTCCTCTTAGGAAATTAGACTACAGTGAATGCATGACTTACCCCTAAAAATAAACATTATTTGTGTAGTTGGAAGCAATCTGAGCAGACTCAATGCAATCTTATATCTAGGATCAGGAGCTTTTTACCTACAGCTTTAAGAGAGAAAATAATAGTCAACCGTACTCCTCAATTCTGTCAATCAAGATACTACCTGGAATTCTCAATGGTGTAGTCTTTATTTTGTAATTCTTGCATATTACAGCAGGAAAAACTCTAACTGAAATGAAAATGTTCTGCTTACCTATAGTTTTAAAATAAGCATTCCTTAAAGACAATGTTATGTTCACCTGGCAGGGAGGGCATAGTTTACCACAAGGTAAATTCTTGGCTCTCTCAGCCTCTGCTACCCCATAGTTACCACACTGTCCTTAATGTTGGCTGAGGAAGCCAAAACATTTCTGAGCTCCAGTTCTGCTTCCTGGGTTTTTCTACTTGGATGCTTCAGAGACCATGGAAAGAACTATGTCTCAAATACTCTGCTTTTCCTCCCTGTTATTCTTCCTCTGCATTCCCCTCCTCAGTGAATGCCACATCTGTCTCCTAGAGTGCCCAAGTCTGAAATACGGAGGTCCATTCTCAAATAGCCCCTCCCTCAACAACCCCATCTACCCAGTAACCAAGGTTTGTCAATGCAGCTTCCTTCTTTCAGTTTCTATTGCTGTTGTCTTAGCTCAGGGACTATTTCTTATTTGAATGACTGGAAGAGCCTCTTATCTGAGCACTGTCTAGCCTAGGCCTAACCAATCTGTTCTCCACACAGTTAGCAGATAATTGTTGCAAACTACCAATCTAGTCATGCTGGGCATCACTTAGTGATTCTGGCTGTTTGCACACACTGCCTCCTCTGTGAGAAACACCCTTGTCATTTCTGACCCTGGGCCATCCTCCATGACACTTCTTCTGGAAGGTTTTCCTGATTTCCATATACCTATCACCTTTTGTGTCCCACTGCCTCTATGTCCCCAGTGCCTAACACAGCCTGCACTTAATAGGTGCTAAATAAATATCACATGCTGGATGACACCAAAGTCATTTGAATCCAAGTATTCCTGTTTTCTTTCTCTTTGAGCCAATAACTGGGGCATCAGAATGGTTCCTTCTCCCTCACTCTCTTCATCCTGTGGACCACTGAGGTTTACTGATACTTTCTGGCTTCAGTCTCCATCTAGTCTCCACATGCTCCATTAACTGTCAACCTAAAAGTCTCTAATGCCCAAAGCGGTGCTTCTCAAACTTCAGCATTAGATTCACCTGGGAGGGGCTGGGTGCGGTGGCTCACTCCTGTAATCTCAGCACTTTGGAGAGCTGAGGTGGGTGAATCACTTGAGGTTAGGAGTTCGAGACTAACCTGGGCAACATGACGAAACCCCGTCTCTACTAAAAATACAAAAATTAGCCAGGCATGGTGGTGTGCACCTGTAATCCCAGACACTTGAGAGACTGAGGGACAAGAATCGCTTGAACCCAAGAGGCGGAGGTTGCGGTGAGCCAAGATCACGCCACTGCACTCCAGCCTGGGCGACAGAGCAAGGCTTTGTCTCAAAAACAAAAAAAAAAGGAAGAAAAAAGAAAAAAAAAGAATCACCTGGGATGCTTGTTAAACAAAGATTGCTGGTCTCCACCCCTAGACTTTCTAGTTCAATAGGTCTGAAGTGAGACCTAGAAATGACATTTCTAACAAATTCCTAGGAGATACTGCTGCTGGTGGTCCAGAGACCATACTTTGAAAACCACTGAAGCAATGGTTCTCAACTGGTGGTGAGCATTAGAACCTAATCACTATCATCTTCTTCTGCCTACTGAATCAAAATTTTCAGTAGGGTCGGGCAGGCTGGCTTTTTTCTACTTAAAAGCTCCACAGGTCATCCTGATGCACTATCTCGGTTAAGAACCATGAATTCAATGATTAACTTCTGGCTCTGGACTTCACCTTCTTCCAAAGCCTTATTTTCCACACCTCCTCTAACTTCAATCCTCCTCTTCAGTCCTATGAAACAGCAAGCAGTCTGATGATTCCAGACCTTTCCTCCCTTTTAGCCCCAGATCAGTTTTATTTATTCATTCATGCATCCATTCATTTACTGGGTACCTAGCACTTGCCAGGCACTGCGCCAGATGCTGGAGAGAGTGCAGTGAACATGAAAGATGCAGCCCTGCCTGCGAGAGCTCATCCTGTTTGCTCTAAGTTCCCTAGCATTCTCTATTTCCCCTTCTCTCTCACTGCACAGATCAGTATCGGCTTCATGCCACACTCTCTTGCTAGACTGTAAATTCAATGAAGGCAGAGACTGTGGTATGTCTTTGTAGGTGCTCAATATGTGTTTTTCAGGTTAAATTGAGAAGCACTTCTGCCGACCTAGCCCTCTTTCAAAAACCATCTCCAGAGCCCTCTCTCTCTGCTGTCTTTCCTGACCTGCTCTAATTCTACTTGACACAGTCAGAATTGAGCTCTGCCTTCAATGAGCCCTCCCCTCTTCCCTACACATATTTCTAACTTGACACTTAAAATCCTTTACTCCACGCTGTTTACAGAGATCTGGTTCCTCCTAACAAACTGTGAGCTTCTGAAATGTAGGAACCATTTCATTTCCACCATTTTAATCTCTGCACTTCATAGAGCCTGACATATAGAAGGTACTTTAAAATGTTTGTCAAATTCAGCCTGGGCAACATGGTGAAACCTTGTCTCCACTAAAAGTACAAAAAATCAGCTGGGCATGGTGCCCCACCCCAGTAGTCCCAGTGACTCAGGAGGCTGAGGTGGGAGAATCACCTGAGCCAAGAAGCTGTGGCTGCAGTGAGCCAAGATCATGTCACTGCACTCCAGTCTGGGCAATGGGAATGAGACCCTATCTCAAAAAAAAAAAAAAAAAAATTTGTCAAATTAATGAATGAGTTAATTTTGTTTTGATTTAAACCTGCTCTGCAATGTTTTGCCCAAACTTCTGTGTGGTTTTAATGAACTCTACTTAAGACTTCCATTTCTCCATAGTAGGAAGATACCTTAGTTCAAATTTCATACAGTATGGAATATGCACAACACCAGATTTGGGGGAAAAGCTTATTAAGAGTCCAGATAAATCCTTACAGAGAGGGCAAAGAGTGACTTTATAGATTACCTTCTGCATTCTTGACCCAGAGTGCTGAGTCGAGGTCTTAGCTCCACTTTAAACTTTCTATCTTTGCCTCTCAGTTCTCTCCTTTACACAGACTGAAGAAAAGACATGGTTTTTAATCTACACTGAGTTCTGACATCAAGAATGATACTACTTAGCAAATTAAACTGAATCTTTGAAATTCATTAGAAAAATAAAGTCAGATAACCTCTCAATAGGAAAAGGTATCTGAAAAAGAGATGGTTATACTTTACAAAATATACAGAAAGTAATTGTTCTTGATAAACTATGCTCAGAGCATCATGCCATGCACATAGTAGGCCCTCAATGAATATTTATTGGATGAAAAAAAGGCAACTGATAAGTGCTTTCACCTAAATTGAAAAGCACTGACTTTTGCTACTGTTGATAATCACCGGAGACTCACACACTGCAGGTCCCTCCAGGAGCTATGGTTCCACTTTGGGATGCTGGAGCCAGTGCCAACTGTTCCCCACAGGTGAACAAACTCTGTTACTAGAACTCATACAGCCTCACATACGTTCAGGGAAAATCTTCCTATCACATATATTCATAACTGCTAACCACACAATTCATAGTTGTATACTATATAAGCTGTGATGTATCACCTTGATAACATACCTTTTTGTCAGGCTAAAGAGGTTATATATTCATTTCTAAAAGTTATTTTGGTTACATAAAATTCTCAGAAACTTAAGATCACCATTCAGTGTAGCAGCTCAGTCTTCCCTGGAGTAGTCTGATTCATTTTTCAGCTACATTAGTACATATAATCTTTTTAGCATGCTTGTAGGCATGAGAAGGAAATAAAATGATACGAATTGTATCACCAACTTAATTTTCTCTTTAGTGTATTGGATATATGCATGTGGAATGAAGATCCTTGAAAGCCCACACCATTCCCACAATTACTTATTGGAAACAATGTTCATTCTATGTAACAAAAAGAATGATTAATGAAGTTTATGTATCATTGGAGCAGATAATTTTACAAAGCTACTTTCTTAAGGCTTTAGAATTAAGGATTTGACTGTGGGAACAGACAGTTTTAAGGGCAGGACACCCCAGATAACCTCACTCACATGCATTTCTCAAACAATGCTTTTCTGTATGTAAACAGAAAATAGAAAGGAGTATATGGTTTTTGTCCTTAGTATTAAATAGCTGGCTTTCTTTCAGTGCACTCTTAAATTTCTGCACAATGCACAGCCTTCAGCACCCCAAGGAGCATAAACAAAGGATATCAGGCAAGTTCACCTACTCCCACTTCACAGAACAATGCTTGTTGTTAACTAAGCAATTCCCAGGGCAGATTTATGATTTGTGGAGCCCAGAGTGAGTGCTCAGATTGGGTCCCTGGAATCTGGGGTCAGAAGCACGTGGTACTGCTCAAACCCCAGGGCTTTTACAAAACATGAAAATGTGACCTAAAGTTTGTGCTTGCATGTACACCAGAGGCTATTTAGGCATTTAGAGAAATTAAAGCACATTAAGGCCTCAAAGCAGTTTATTGTTCATGCTTCAAGATTTAACCTTTTCTTTCTTATTTGCTGCTATGTTTTTCCTCTGGTGAATAAATGACTACTGAATCAAGTAAGATGAATTGACTACATATATAATATGTCTCATGTATTAAAATATACTGATGGAGCAACAAGTTATAGAAATAGGTAAATGTGAAAACTTGAAAACTCCCTTTTCATTTCCTAAACAGAATTATGACTCTCAATTATGACTCTGAATGACTAAGAATACAGGAGTTATTTCCTATATTCTTAGACAATGGGTTTTTACAATAAGAAAGAATTTTTCATCAGTGTACTTAATTTATCCCAAAACTTTATATGAGGATTGTAGTTCCAGTCAGAACTATAAGCACTTTAAAAAAATAAATGCAAACCAGTGCATGAAAAGGCCTCTTTCCTCTTGTCACTTTAAGAAATATTTTGGCTAGAGTTACATCCCATAGGTTTATATAATGTTATTAACATGTAATGTAACTTTGGGGAATAGTTTCTCCTTTGTGCTGTCTGGTACAAGTCTAAAAGTAAAATAGGTTACTGTTTCCATTTTTATGAGCATAACTATTATCAAATTATTAATACTCTGAAATAATTCAATTTCATCACTACCCTTTTACTCTCTAAAATCACCTATTAAATATTACAATTGGGCTGGAAAAAAGAAAAAATATATACACTTTTTAAAAATATACATATATACACACATATATTTAGCTTTGTAAAATTATCTGCTCCAATGATATAAATACACATATATTTAGACAACGTTCACATAATTTTAAAAGTCATTTGGAATTATCTAAATATGTGACTTGACTGTTCAATAGTATGAATAGTTAGTATAATATAAATACAGCTGTATGTCTCAGGCTGAATGAAATTGTTGATGGGTCACTGAAGGTGTTGGGTCCTTTCACATACCATAGATAATGCAAGAGCTAGTCTATTCCAATTGACTTCATGTGAAGCTAAGTGGCTAGCCCATGGTCTCTAAACAATTATTAAATTTCTACACTATTCAGGAAAATTATGTTCTTCTAAGTTTCCAAAATGGTTCTGGTGTTTAAAAGTCCTTAAATAGGCTTTAAAATAAAATTGTGAAACCTAAAAAAGAGCAAATACAAGGAAAAAATTTATAAAGAAGACAGATCAATACTAAAGGCACATCGTAGTCACAAAAACACTTATAAAATCACAACGCTGTATTTTAAAAATTAATAATGAGTCAGAAAGTTCTGGGTTAGATGGCAGAGGCTGATGAAATCCACAGTCTTCAATTCTGGCACAAATGGAAAAGAACATTAATGCCTAGTCTACTGAGCTTCTCCTTGTCGGTTTGCTAAAGAGGAAATACCTTCCTAACACCTACCAGTGGAAAATCATTGAAAAAATAGATTAGTGAGAATAAAACAACAAAAAGAATAGTTCCCTACCCATTGCTTCCCACTGAATGAACTTTTGACATATCAGCAAACTCTTCCTTTCGCTTGCTGCTGCTGGTATACTGCTCGCTGTACAGCTTGAGGGACATCTGCTCAACAGCATCTCTTTGTGCTTCCAGGTAGCATAGTTGAACCTCAGCCTGGAAAGAGAAACAAAGAGAAATTGCTGTTTTAATCCAGAAGGAATGCATTTCAAGTGAGGTGTAACAACTCAAAGAATGGGAATTCTTCACATCATTATAGTGCTCCTTTTCGAGTTGGATTTAATGGGATCAGTTGGGCATATTACAGAATTATATTTTAGATCTGAATCTTATAAGTTCCTCCTTAAAATATGACCTGAATAAATGAACCCTCAGAAGACTCTGTAAATATCACAAAATATCCCTGAGATCATAATACTGTATGATAAGACTTTACATAAAAATTCTGTGAAATTCCTTAATAATGTTCTTCCTTATGTTGTCACATATGTAGCACTTATTTTTTAAAAATCCCCCTCCAACCCACACATTTGCATGGACACATATTCTAAATATTTTTCTACTATTTTCCCTATGGAGAATAAAAAAGCCTAGTGTTAATTCTAATACCTCTTCAACAATCACAATAGACTTTACTACATTTTTTGGTTGTCTGTGTTACTGTCTTAATAATTTTAAAGTAATGCAAACAGTGATTTTATTTACATGCAGGTTTGAATTGTTACATCTTTCATACTTAGGGCTCACTGTAGTAAAGGAGAGGTAGTAAGTTCACCATGCTGTTTTCTATCAAACCAAGGCCAAAAGAATGCTGAATAATATTTGGCATGAAACTGTATTGAATAGATGCTTTATTTATTGCAGCTGTTGTGATTCCTGTGGCTTTCAGGTTCCCTAGAACATCAGATGAGACCGAGAATGATATCTTCTCAGGGACATGCTTGGCCATAGTAAAGGGAAAGGAGCAATGCTGAGTTCATGTACATTGTAGACCAAAGGACTCTTCTTTTGTGTGCTTCACTAAATCCAAGCATGCCCATTAACATTTCTGATAAACCTTGAAATCTCTACTTTACAATTTTATTATATATTCTAGGAAGAACATTTCTGGGTCAGCTGTTGAGTAGTCGCCAGAATTCCATAACACGTAAGAAGAAAAGTTGGGCCAGATGTGACCTTCTACTCTTAGTATCCACAGCTGACCAAGGCCTTTTGCCTGATCTCTAGTTTTATAGCCTCGACTACGGAGAAAAAGTGAATATTATAAAGTGGCAGCTGCTTAAATTCCAAATTAGGACTCTATAAAGGAAATGGGTAGCCTATGAAAAATGAGGTCTTGCAGGCCGGGTGCGGTGATGCATGCCTGCAATCCCAGCACTTTGGGAGGCTGAGGTGGGTGGATCACTTTAGGTCAGGAGTTTGAGACCAGCCTGGCCAACATGGCGAAACCCCGTCTCTACTAAAAATACAAAAATTACCCGGGCGCATGCCTGTAGTCCCAGCTACTTGGGAGGCTGAGGCAGGAGAATCACTTGTACCTGGGAGAAGGAAGTTGCAGTGAGCCAAGATTGCATGACTGCACTTCAGCCTGGGCAACAAAGTGAGACGCTTTCTCAATTTAAAAAAAGAAAAGAAAAAAAGAAAAATGAGGTCTCAAACCATTCCAGAATTCCTATGTTGTTGCTTTTTATAAGTACTTAATTATGAATGCTCTGGTTTGCTGAGAAAGAACTTAAAGAAACACTGCTAAAATAACTATAGTTATATAATTGAAGTTTCAGGAATCAGATCAAAACTGCAATCTATTTGTTGGTTCATGTGAACTGTTCTTGCCCAAACTAATTGACTTGAATAAGAAGACACTCAATTGGATTAAGAACTATGTCAAACACTATAAACAAAGGATAATGTCATATGGAGTACATTCAGCTGGGAGTAGGGGGTATGGCTGGTGGGAAGGCACAAAGAAAACGCTAGATCTAGTGATGTTAGTATCTTTATTGATGATGTGGAAGAGGAGGTATGCAGAATGTTAACAGCACATATAGAAGACTGCCAACTAAGAGGTTTGCAAACATCATGAAACCTGAAAGAATAATAACTACTGATGTAATAATATTTTATTTTTAAAAGGATAAAACTAAATGTAAAGAGTCAACAATCAGAAACACAACAGAAAAAATCTTTTAAAAGAACATACAAATTTTTATGAGAAAATTGAGATTACAGAGATATTGAGCAATAGTCAAAGAACAATACTCCTCTCAAATGCCACCCCTTTACTTCCACTGCAAAGCCACAAAGTTTAACGAGTATTATACCCACACTAAGTATTCCACTGACCCAATTAGAATAATGCATTTGTGCCATTAGGTACCAAGGGACGTGTTTGATATCTAAGGGTTCCTGTTAGTTTTTAGCCATCCTAAGTCACAAGCTTGATCATGATTCATTCTGGGTAATGACCTCACAAATGTGTGCCACTGGTCACAAAAACAATCCTAACGAGAGAAGTCAACTTCATCTAGACTCAACACCATTACAGAAAAATAATCTGCATTCATCTCTGTAATTCTCAGCCATTTCTGTGTACAAAGAGATATACTTCACATATGACAGGGATATGTGAAAAGAAGTTCAGAGAACAAAGCTGAGAGTAACTCGAAAAATAGTCACCTTACAAAATGATTGAAATGTTATAATCTATGACTTTTACTGCATAATATCTCACAAGCATTTGTCAAAGGAAACTTCCCTGCACTAACAAGGAGATGAATTAGATGGCCCAGGTCTTTCTTATCCATCTCTATTTCTATTTCTGTTTTCAGTGATTCATTCCCAAATGAGATGATAAAAATAGAACCAAAGTAGTTCCTCCTACTAAGGTTGAATGGCTTTGCCAGTCTAAATCTTTCTGCAGACTATCTTAACTTTTTATCAGACTATATTTTAGTCCAAAGATAAATTTTTAAGAGAAAGAGTTGAAGAAAATTTAGTTCTTTAAAAACAGTAACAATCTCTGGTTAAAAAAAATTATTAGCATCTATAACAATGGATACTTTAAAAAGTGACTATATTTTACACATGGAAACTTAGCATGATTAAATAATATTTAAGATGCACCATCAAAATACTTTGGCAACTTACTCATTAAATAGGGGGTTGGGGAAGAAGACTCGGTGATGGAATCCCCTCTTCCCTTCTAGGTCACTAAAAGACCCATGATGCCATCAATAGGAGTAGGAATATAGGAAGAGCAATTCAAGTGGATGGGAGAAATCGGCTGGATTTATATGAGTCTATTAATTTAAGGTACTGGTGGGATGCTCAGAATGAGATATTCAGCAAGCAAGTGGAAATATTAGTACTGAAATACAAACCTACAGGCAACGGTTGCCATTAGGAGATGAAGTGTGAATGCCATGGGAGAGAGCTGACAATGAGAAGAGAAAAAAGATCAGTTTTCACTTACTGTAGTCTAGGCCTTCATTACCACTGGCTCACCCAGTATAATGGATTATCAGTCATTCTCCCTCCCAAAATTCATTTTATTTATTGTTCAATGATCTTTTTGAATGACAGTTGACATCACTGGTGTGTTGTTGTTTGTGGGCTCAATTCTGGGCCACTTTTCTCTATCTATACTCTCTTCCATGGCTTTAAATGCCAACTAAGTAGTAACGCCTTCCAATCCTCTTCTCTAAGCTGCATACTTATATATCCAACCAATCACCTCCAATCACCTGACATCGCTACTTGGGTTTCTTTAGACCTTACTATTTAAAACAGAACCCTTCATTCTCATCCTTACCACATCCCCCAAACCTTTCTGTACTTAGGCCTTTAAATAAAATAAAACCTTTCGTTTTAAACAAATGGTACTGTCTATTGCTCATGTCAGAAACCTGAGAGTCATTCTTGACTCTTCCTCTTCTTCATTTCCTTTAGCAGGTTATTCCCTAAGTTGTTGACTCCTCTTCTAAAATGTCTCTGCAGTCTCCTTCTCCAATCTGCACTGCTTCCAGCCTACTCCAAGCTTTCATAATCTTTCACCTGCAGTACAGCAAATATCTTCTAACACGTATCTCCCTTCGCTCATTCTTAGACCTCTAATCTCTTCTCTTATAGTGGCCAAAGTAGTCTTTATAAAACATGAGCTGGTTTTAGACTGCATTCAGACCTAAAAAACAAAATTCTACCCATGGCCTAGGATATTTGGTTCCTGCTGACCTTAGGCCACGTTTCCTACCAGTCTCCCTCTTGATCACCATGCCCCTGTCATCCTTGCCTTATTTCAACACTTTAAACATTCTAGTTCTTTAAACAGCCCTTTCTTGCCTCAGGACCTTTGCACGTATTGTTCCCTTTCACTGGAACATTGTCTTGCTAATGTCTTCTCATCTTTCCAGCTCTCAGCTGATATGCTACTTCTCAGAGAGGCCTTGCCTAACTTATCAAAAGTAGATCCACTCTATTTTTCCTCTATTTCATATCCAGATTAATTTCCTTCATAACACATATCAAAATTTAAAATTCTTGCATTTGCTGGTTTACATTTTTTTCTGTCTCTTTTTCTAGACCCCAAACTCCATAAAGGATTGTTTCTGTCTCCTTTGCCATTTTGCATTCCCAGTACCCTGGCAATATCTGGAACATGACAGGGGCTCAGTAAATAATTGCTCAGTGGATGAGTTGTACATTCTTGCATTCATCCATTTATTATTATTATTTTGAGATGGAGTCTCACTCTACTGCCCAAGCTGGAGTGCAGTGACACAATCGTGGCTCACTGCAACCTCCACCTCCCAGGTTCAAGCGAATCTCCTACCTCAGCCTCCCAAGTAGCTGGGATTACAGGTGCCTGCTGCCACACCCAGCTAATTTTTGTATTTTTAGTAGAGATGGGGTTTCACCATGTTGGCCAGGCTGGTCTTGAACTCCTGGGCTCAGATGATCCACCTGCCTCAGCCTCCCAAAGTGCTGGGATTACAGGCATGAGCCACCACACCCAGCTGCATTCATCCATTTATTACTCATATGTTTACTGAGACTTTCTCATATCTCAAGAACTGTACCAAGAACTGTGGGAACAAGGAAGAAGAAAACTTAGTTACTTCTCCTGAGGCACCGCAGTGTGGTAGAAGAGAGAGCCATGCCAACAGATAACTACAAGTGTCCAAGTGAAATTATTGTAGGGAAGGATGAGAAATAAAAATAATTTATTGTTTGAAGGTGGGGGTTGGGGGTATGGAGCAGAGGCTTGACAGAAGTGGCATTGGAGCCAAAACTGAGATAATGGGTCTGACCTTGTCAGGTGAAGAAACAGATAGATATCTTCATAGACAGAGTAACTCATTTGTTCAGGGGCGCAGAGTTGTGAAAGGATGTGGCATGTTCAGAGAATGGTGGCTGGAGCTTTGGGGCATTTGGATATAGAGGCTAAAGTGGATAGACGATGGAGGATGCCAGGTTAGAAAATTTGTATGCTATCTTGGCCACAATGAAGTGCCAGCGGAAGCTATTGTCATTTCTGTGATGGCCTTAATCTTCCTCTATCTCTCTTTTTCTGTCATGACAAGATAGTCGCCTAATGGATTAGTCCAAATATGCTGGTATAGCTCCTACTGGCTGGTGTACTTGGAGAAAGTTGCATCAAGAAGTTGAATCAGCAGTTCCTATCAGGCTGGATGCCCACCATACCAAATAGTGGGAATGCCTAAGAGATTCTAGTAACTAGTACCTCTGGTAAACTTTTAACATAATATTATGGACTGAATTATGTCCCCTCACCCCCAAATTCCTATGTTGAAGCCCTAACCCCCAATGTGACTATATTTGGAGATAGAATCTTTAAGAAGGCAATAAAGGTTAAACGAGGTCACAAGGGTGGGGGTCCCAATCCAATAGAATTGGTGTCCTTGTAAGAAGAGGAAGAGATACCAGAAGTGTGCATGCACAGAGGAACAGCCATATGAGAACACAGCAAGAAGGTGGCCATCTGTGAGCCAAGGAGAGAGGCTTCACCTGAAATCAAACCTGCAGACACCTCAATCTTGGACTTCCAGCCTCCAGAACTGTGAGAAATAATTTCTGCTGTTTAGCCACCCAGTCTGTGGTATTTTGTTATGGCAGCCTAATCATGTTAGAAATGCTGCCTTCTCATCTGAGATTTAATACAATTGCTTTGCTATTTATCAATAACAGCATGTTTCCCCCCTTTATTTTGTATGCATTTAGCACCTAAATCACTAGAGATACTCCTTTTCAAATTCAGACTACAAATTAATACTTAATAATTTAATAAGGACACAAAATGCAGTTTGCTAAAATATTTTATGGAAATTTGGCTCGGTATGTGGTGACCCAAATTCAATGCCTGGATCATTACTCAGTCATATACTTCCCTCTGATCTTGTGTGTGTAACTAATAATAATATAGTGTATAACACATTTGGGGGAGGAAATTTCAGTCAATCTAATCAACTCGAAGGATTAAACACATAAGCACTTTTATAATCACATATAGACCTAATGCTTTATCTTTGTCATAAAAAGCAATTTTTAGTTTGCTTTTTGCTAATTTGACTGATTTATCACTTCACGTCCCAGAATTCTTTGTTGGGTTAAGCATCCTGAAAATATTAAAATCCATTTTACTTTTTCTTAACTCATACCATTGTAGATCTCCCTGTTCACTCATACTAGACTTCGTAGTTCTCACCACCTCTACTACTGCCTATCTGCATCTGGGTGCACGTCCTCTGCTATTCCTTCTGTTTCTACAGAAGCTGTCCATATTTCTAAGGCTAATCCCTTGCATTTTGGTACCAGACTTCCCTGACCTACACAAAGATGATCACCCCCCAAAATTGCCTTTCTTTCCTGCATCAAGTTTTTTCTTCTCTACTGTATTATTCCTATTGCACATTAGCCCAAAAAATGCCGTTGTTTTTCCATCGGTAAAAAAAAAAAATAGAGAGAAAAAGAAAAATAATCCATTGCCGCCAATCTATCTTCTAGTCATTTTTCCATTTCTCTGTTCTCCATTATAGCAAAACCATTTTTACTTGAATTGTTTATACTTGCTGTTTACAACAAACCTCCTCTTTCTCTCTTGAACACACCCCAATCAGATTTTGGTCCACATTCCTCATGCAGTGGTCAGTCCTTGGTCCTCAACCTAGTCTAGCCTGCTTCAGCAGGGCTGGTGGGTGTGCTCTCGGGGCATTTGCTTGTGTTTGCACGACAGCTCAGTCCCTCACTTCTCTCAAGTCTTTGCTGAGATAACCTCTTGCATCCAAGTCTTCCCTGACCTGCTACTTAAAACTACAACTCACCCCCACCCCTAGAAATCCCTATCCTCTTTCCTACATACTTATCACATGTAGCTGAACATGTCACTTTTTTTTATATTGTCCATCTTCCCTCAGTGAATTGAAAGCTCCATGAGGGCAGGAGGTTTTGTTTATGTGTTTACTGCTTTATCCCTAGCACCCAGCACAGCATATGTGATAAGACACTCAATACAAATTGAATAAATTTTACTGAGTTTGAACATCTAAAATGATTTCAAATGTACAAAGAAATAAAACAGTTAGTTTGAAGGCTGAAGCCTCAGCTTCATTTTAAAAATTGTTGGCTTTATTCTCCCTTAAGAAGGAGACTTTTTTCTTTGACAGAAAATAAAATAATTGAAATATAGAACTTGTTTACTATTCTTCCCAGGGAAAAAAAAAAGAAGAAAAAAAAGCTTCTTTAATTCATGAGCCATTTGGGCTTTTGGAGGAGACACCAACAATGGCAGAGTTTGTATTTGGAAGAGTCCACACTAGCTCAAGATCACAGGGATCCTTCAATATAATGGGAGGAAACCCTACTTTTTTGGTAATAATTTTGTTACTGGGGACATTTTCCTTCTTTTACTACACAATCTTTTTTACCTTCAATGCAGTATATCTAAGCACCTGTCTTTTCCTTTGCTTCCTTACAAAAATACTTACTATGTTTCCCTTCTTTCCTCCTAATAGTATCCCCTTTAGCAACTAGTCCAGAATGCTTCCTTCTTCTGGAAAGACCTTCAGGTCTCAAGACCCTCATGGACCCTCCCAAGGACTTCCAGGGTTGATTAGAATCTACACTTGGTGATATGGTTTGGCTGTGTCCCCACCTAAATCTCATCTTGAATTGTAGTTCCCATAATCCCCATGTGTCATGGGAGGGACCCAGTGGGATGTAATTTAATCCTGGGGGCATTTACCCTCCTGCTATTCTTGTGATAGTTTTCATGAGATCTGACAGTTTTATAAGGGGCTTTGTGATAGTTTTCATGAGATCTGACAGTTTTATAAGGGGCTTTTTTTTTTTTTTTTTGAGACAGAGTCTCACTCTGTCACTCAGGCCGCTGTACAGTGGCAAGATCTTGGCTCATTGCAACCTCAGCCTCCTGGGATCAAGCGATTCTCCTGCCTCAGCCTCCCCAGTAGCTGGGATTACAGGCATCCGCCACCATACCCAGCTAAGTTTTGTATTTTTAATAGAGACAGGATTTCACCATGTTGGCCAGGCTGGTCTCAAACTCCTGACCTCAAGTGATCTGCCCATCTCAGCCTCCCAAACCGCTGGGATTACAGGGGTGAGCCACCATGCCCACCTATGTTTTCCCCTTTTGCTCGGCACTTCTTCTTGCTGCCGCCATGTGAAGAAGGATGTGTTTACTTTCCTTTCTGCCATGATTGTAAGTTTCCTGAGGCCTCCCCAGCCATGCAGAACTGTGAGTCAATTAAACCTCTTTCCTTCATAAATTATTCAGTCTTGGGTATGTCTATTAGCAGCGTGAGAATGGATGAATACACTTGGAAATATCTACTCTTTTGTTTGGCAGAGTGCCCATACTCATTCCAGGATTTAGAATTATTACCTTTCCACTGCTTTTTTCTAAGATCATGTTTATTTTGTGTGTTTTTGCTTTTGTTGTCATTGTTGGTGGTTCATAATTTCCTAAAATAACTCACCTTATTCTAAGTGCACTTCCTTTGTCCAGAAACAAACTCTCTACAGGCATTTATTCACATACCATGATTAGCTACATTCTAGCTAAATACAAATAACATTTGGTATTACAATGAATGAGAATCTCATGTTGTTCTTCTAGTCCTGCATGGATGCCAAAGCTTCCTTCTACAGAATCAGAGCAGGGAGTCATAGGACTAAAGGAGCAATGTATTTATTTGGAGTAAAGTTGATTCAGGCCCTTCATTTATTCATTCAACAAATACATCTTGAGTGTCTCTTAGGGGTAAGACATTGTGCATGATACAAACAAATCTGGATCAGACACAGTATCAACCCTCAGGGAATGTATAACCTAGAATCACAGAAAAACTATACTACATAATAGTAGCTCAAATATTCATTCAAGGGTAAGACCAATATTATACTTCAAAGATATTGCCAAAGAAAGACTTACTAAGTTTGTTGGAATGTTATTTTAATTATTGTATAAGAGAGTTCTAAAAGTATTAAAAAATGTAAATATCTTCCCTTGTCAAAAATTAAGTATATATCAAAAATTTAATAATATCAAAGTTATTTCAATATTATTACTCAGCAAAGACCACTGCATATACTAATCTTTGTAGGTTAGGATATAAAACTAATCATAAAACTGATCATAAAACTATTATCAGAAGACTAATCATAATCACAAAACTAATCATAAAACTGATCATATTGGCAGTTCCAAAAAAACCTAGCCTTAGGTTCTCAAGGTTTATTTACAAATCTCATGTCTAATAAAGTCAGGACAACTGCAAAAGATAAATGATTTAAGTAAAAAATAATACATTACTTTAAAAATTCATTTTTATTTCTATTGACCTGTTGTTTGCAAATTATTAGAAACATTCACTATAATGTTTAGGAAATTCAATTTTAAAGCTGTTTCCTTAATGATATTTGTTAAATGGTAAACATTTAAACACAAAGTTGAGAAATTAACATTAACACCATTTCCATTATTTCTTCTTTTTGTGCATAAAGAAAAACATCCTTTCCTCCATTTTAATGACAGATGAGATGTTTATTAAAAGTAACAGCAACAAAACACCTCCACCTAACAAACATGAAGAACAAATATATCAAACAAACATATCAAACTATTGCATTTGTGAAGAGCTTTTATCTACTACCACCCTCTCCTTTTTGTAATGCCTGTAGTTAAAAATCATTAAAAATTCCGCATTTTATGTCATGAGCTAGGGTGGGAAGGGAGTGCAAATATACTGTGTGGACTGAAGACGATGATTAGAATTTTTGATGTCACTCCATTACTGTTTCCTTAGCAAATCTCTGCACAATGACATAGGCATCCTCTGTTTATATTCTATGGCAGCATCCTTACTCCCATCTTCTAAATTCCTCTACAGCAAATCCTTATTTACTTTCTGGTAGAAACTAAACATCAAAGATGTATAATAGGAAGATACAATCTTAGTTTCTCTTGCCCTGTAGAACTGGCACTTCCTTCCTAAGTACAATTATGCTGGCAAACACTGCTATTAACTCTATGACTGCAAGACATGCACACTAGTTCCTCTGAAATTCTATAAAATAGTTGTCCTTAAATGGTGATAGAGAGAAAAGAATGAAGCAGGAACAACAAGAATTACTTTACATACTAATAATAACAATTTATTTATCAAAACAGAACCAAACAAGTGTGCCTTTATACTGTTCTTTTAAAAATTTAGCCTCCTAGGGTTCTAATAATCAGGACCTATGGTTCAGGAATGCACAGTAGCACTCAGCTCAGTGCCTATATCCTCATTTCAAAGAGAATCATTCAAACCGACACCCACCCTGTCAAGAATCTCGACTTTGAGCTGCTAATGTAGAATAAAAATCAATATAAATTTTGATCATTTGATGAATATTTACTTCTTTCTTTAGTATTTGGGGATTTAGAATTGAAAAGTGCTGAATCAAGTCATTTTATTTTTTTGTGTTTGTGCCAACACCAATTTACTACCCTCCAGAAAGTTCCTGAACAAGATGTCTCAGGTGGCATGCATGTTGGTTTTTCCTGTCAATCATAACAGTGTGTCAGTAGGGAACCATAATCATTTCCCTTTCATACTCTTAGTGTTCCAAAAAGGAATATTTTGATTACTCCCTTGGAAAAGGTAAACTTTCTCATTTAGACACACTATTGTAAACCTGGGTGTCTGTTGTTTTTGGCATTCAGCTGAGCCTAAATTGATACAATCTATTAAAAGTTAAACACTCCATTTTAGGCTCCGAGGGTCATGCACGATAAACAGAATTTATAAATGGGTTCCTCTACAAGCAAATTTCAGTATTACCCTCAAAACAAAGAGCTTTTATAGAAGCTGCTATATTTCTCCATGCATTTTCTGAAAAATAACAAGAAAATATCAACTGACTGCTTATATAGCAGAAAGACATCACAATAAAAAGACTTCACTTTTTATTATAAATGAAAAGAAAATGCACTATAGACAAATGACATTAAAAAAGCTTAGCAATTAAAATATGATTCCTGTGTAAGGCTAGTTACATGAGTAGAGGAGCATACCACCATTTTCATTATAATTTGATATCTGTAGCAAAAGATTACTATTCTTACAAAATAATTCCATAGTGATTTTTAAAATGATGGTCTTTTCCAATTTGAAAAAAAGCCTAAATTAATTGCAAGCACCAAAAATGTAAGATATCCTCATTAAAAAATCTTATATATGACATAGTGGCATAAGACTCTATATTAAGGATGCATTTTTGATGGTTCCTTATAAATTAAATAAAAATGACAGCAGCTGCCTTTCTCAAGAATGATATACCCCTGGATAATCACTAGATATTATGTAGACAGATGTTTTAAATAAAATAAAGTATTTAGATTGCTAGATATGAAGGCAATTATAGGATGTCTTTGTTAAATTACATTTTTCATTTTTGTGAGAGGGGAAAAAAAGAATTGTCCTGGAAACAGTACCAACAGGAAATGATCCTATATCTAAAACAGCTGGAGACTGTAACTAATATAAATTTACTTGAAAATAAAAATGCTGTGTGCCTCTGGAGACATGCAGTAACATGCCATAAAAACAGATGAGAATATAAAAATATTTAAAAAGGAGAAAATACATTTTATCGAGATATTATACTGAGATGTGAGCCACTGATAAATGACAAACATATAAAGATGAAGAAAAGACAGAAAAATCAGATTAGCCATTTTAAAACTTATAATAGATATTTTATTTAAAACTATATTTGTAGAAAATATCAAAAATATTTTTCTTAGCAAAACCCTTTGCTTTTTAATATATTGGTTATTAACCAATTTACTGAAGTCATAATAATAATGTAAAGGCAAATAATTGTGTTTACTTAAAATTCTAATGGAAGCAGAAGATGCGTACTATGAGTAAGTTAAGGGCCTTAAATGTTAGATAAGAATATTCTAGTAATTCTCAAAGTCATATGTAACAGCCTCCACACAAAGGCTCCCCACTACATGTGTCCATCTCCACCTATCCCCATTCTTGTTAGCTGCTGAATTGGAAAGATATCTGATATACTAATTCATACCAAATATACACAGGCATTAACATCTTGCAGTGTTATGATATATACTGGTTTTCATCCAGAGCTCCTGGCTTCTAACTCCCATAGCCATTCCTTGGTTATAATGCTGGGTGTGTTAGGCCTCAGGGGCAGCCTCTGACTTTCTGCTCTGCTTTCACCTGCCCTAAAGCAGGACTCTAATGTTCGCCTGCCTTTCTGATTGTGAGTCTTAAGACTCTCCCATGAGAGGGTCCCACCCTATACTGTGGGGGAATGAATGCTGACATCATGAAGATTCCATAAAACCCCAAGAGGACAGAGTTCAGTGAATTTCCAGATAGCTGAACACATGGAGGTTACTGGAGGGTGACACGCCCAGGAAGGGCATGGGAGCCCTGTGCCCCTTACCCTATTTCTCGCCCTATGCATCTCTTCATCTGTATCCTTTACAATATCCTTTATAATAAATCAGTAAATGTAAATAAGTGTTTCCCGGAGCTCTGTGAGCTGCTCCAGCATATTAATCCAACCCAAAGAAGGGGTCATGGGAACCCCAACTTGAAGCCAAAAGTTTGGCACTTTGATTAGAATTTCTGGAGGGCCGAACTTTCGACTGGTGTGTTGGGGGTTGGGGGAAGTCTTGGGGACTGAGCCATCAATCTGTGGGATATGACACTGTCTCTGGGTAGATAATGTTGGAACTGAATTAGAGGCCTCTCAGTTGGTGTCCACTGCTTGGTGTATGGGGAGAACTCTCCCCACCCCCAAATATGGTCACAGAAGTCTTCTGTATTGATGATTATTGTGGTGTGAGAGTAGAGGAAAATCACAGTTCAAGTTTTCTCTACACATATCTTAACACAGAACATCTCCAAGTACATGAATTTCAATATTCTTCACTTAAAGATTGAAATGCATTAATCTACAAGACACTTTTAAGAAAAGCTATGGGTGGAAATCTATTTGCACAGCAGGGGTGAGTAGAGCATGAAAAAGTACCTCCAAGTCTTGAGTGTTTACCTCTCTTATCTATGCCTGAGACTCATCCTGGTCCAGTTCCTAGGGGTCTGGATCTCAGACAGGAGTAGACCATGTGAAGCTGAGACTTCCTATGGGGCCCTAATTTGCACAGTCAGAGAAGATCACAGAGCTTCAGAAGCTGGTGTATGCATGTCAGCTGGAGAGAAGACCCAATAAAGGAACACAGCGTGAACGGAATAAAGGCAGAATGGAAGAGGAAGGTGAAAAGAGCATGCGTGTATGATGAATGTGAATAACAATTATCACAAATATACCCATAGAACCCAAAAAGGAATGTTCTTAAACAAAATTGTGACTTAAAATTCTTTTGTAGGCTGACACTGCAGTAATATTTTCAAAAGTAAAACTCTAGAACCTAAATTAAAACTCAAAAAACATAACCAATATTCTTCAGTTTTCTCTACAAGTTCATCACATGTTAAAGGAAGCTACAGTATTTTCTGGTAGATCTGTGACAAAGCCACACACAAGCACACACACAAGCATGCACACACATACACACAACTCTACAACAATGATTCCCATGAATTTGTATCCTCTTTATCACTGTATAGATTGATCATCACTGCTGCTTAGACCTTGTAAAGCTTGACTTATTGCTTAGCTGTTCCTGAAAATTCTCACTACCTCTTTGCTATTATATTCAGAGGAGACTTAAAAAATACAAATATACATTTTTTTTCCTCTTCAATGTCATGGTTCCTATCCACTAGGCATATTGATATTCTAAGTAAGAGACAGGTTAAGCAAAATGATATCCTCCTGCTTTATCTCACTTTTGCTTATCTCAGTTATTATTTTTTTTCTGCTCCTTCTTTATTTTTGGGCTAGAGTGAAAACTCTTCCAAGCCAAAAGACTAATTATAAAAAGGTTCCATAACATTGATATTGTCCAAAGCAGACACATTTCAACAAAAATTGCTCCATTTATTATACTATTTCCCCCCCTTATGTAGGAAGACAACACAATGGTAGGTATTAGATGCTATGCTCAAAATCTATTTAAAGGAAAGATCTGACCTCAGCCTCAACCAGTGTGTTGCAGACATACCTCTCCTTGGGTATCTGAGTCTTCCAGGACTTGCCTTCTTTGGCCTTTGCTGTCCATCACGCCAGCCTCCTCCCTAGCTGCTCTTGCCTTTGCCCACACACAGATTCTCAGGTTCTTTCCATTTTAATTCCTTGAATGAACCTAGCTCCTTCCCACCTTGGACACGTTGTTTCTTCTGCCTGGAATTCTCCTCCTATCTTCTTCATGTGGCTAGCACCTATATATGCTTTAAGTTTCAGTTTAAGTGTTACTTCCCATGGTGATCTGTCCCTCTAATATAAAACATATCTCTCTTCACCTTATAGTACACAGGACTCCTCTGTCCTATTAGATTTTAGGCTCCCCAAGAGTATGATATGAACCAGATTTCTTTTGACATCACCCACAGATTCCTGACCCACAGCAGACACTCAATAAGTATGTACTGAAAGAATGAGTGAGGCAAGCAGGGGGTCTGATATGGCTTATTTCCATCTAGGAAGAGCTGAAGATACTATTTTTAAAATCCTTTTAAAAGGGAAGGCAGGGAAAGTATAAGGTGAGCCTGGGATATCTTCTTGTACTAGAAAACAAAGAAGCATTCCTTGACTAATAGGGATCTGTCAAAAGGACACAAGTGTCATATGAAGAGGCTCCCTTTTGGCAAATGTGGGAAATATAAGCACTAAAAAAGAAGAATTATTGTAATTGATTGTTGTATATTGAACAAATAAAAATCAATTAGCCTATAATTATACTGAAAAGAGAAAAAAACATGCCGCCATTGAGGGTGACAATTACACTAACTTCTTACCACCAAAATTGGTAAATAACGAGAAAAGCATTTCACTTACTTTTTAAAAGAGGAACTATAGCTCATCTGATGTTGGTAAGAGAAAGTCTACAGGAAAAAATGCCAAGTAAAAATGTGGGAGAAATAATAGAATTAGGATACCATCATTTTACCACCCCTAAAGAAAGAATTGATTCTAGCAAGAATCATCAATGTATTCTAAAACTCTTAAGCAAATATCTGACGGAAAACAGAACATTCACAGAATGCCCAAGCATTATCCTACAGATTACCTGCTAATTATAAAGAAAATCTCATCTATAGAAAGAGGTACTGTGTCTGGCCATCACCACATTAGCATCACAAACAGTGGATAGCCTGGCATAATGGGATGCCATTTGAAGTACACATGCCAAAAATGTTTAATCTGAATCCAAACAAGCCTCTGGACCACATTTCTAGTTTGTAGGGAATAGTGAATAGAGGAAAAAGTTAAGAGACACACCACGAGGAGACAATCAGACAAATCTAGAACATGAAACATTCTGATGATTCATCTGGTTTCTTCAGATTGGTATTTAACAACTGCTAGGACCTCAGTTTGAGTGAGGTTCTGAGATAGAATGAAATGTGTCAGAATAAAAGACAACAGTGAGAAATGAAGTCATGTTTTATATTGGCAATCTGCTACTTCACAGCTTGAGAGTCAGTCCTAAGAGAGAAGTGTATTTTTTTAAAATGACAAACATTCTACTGTTAGTCAGAATCCCATGCCCAAAATGAACCTCTCTGCCATTTTACAGGATATTTAAAGAGAACTATAAAATTTTATATTTTACATAATTATTTATATTTTATAGTTTCATTCCAAATAATCTATTATACTATGAAAGAAGTATTGATTTTGTCCTTTTATTTGCAAGAGTATGCAAATTAACAGATTCATTGGCTGTGGTAATCCTGGGTTCACCTACTTCAGTTCACTGTTCACTAGGTACCTAGATAAATGCTTAAATCATCATTGAGAGTCATATTCTGCTTGATCAGGAATCACTTGGTAATAGGATATTGATACTTTGATAATAACATTCATACTTTCATAACTTGTGATTTCATGTATATTATCTCATTTGATAATCCCAACAACCTTGTGCTATGCACAGGTAGATCAGGTGTCATTATCCCCATTTAGCAGATGCAGAAGCCAGAGGTCAAATAAATTACTTTGTCCAAAGTCACATAGATAATGAGAAGAAGAACCAGGGGTTTCTGGCTCCAACTCCAGTGCTTTTCTACTCACCATCCTAGGTATTGCCTCTAACCAGTAGTCCTGAAACCATGATTTCCAGTCTCTAGCTAGTCCCTGACTGAGGCTGCCAGCACAGACATGGACAACTAAAAGAGCCGGGGTATGGCATCAAGTCTACTGAGTAAGGTATGTACTTGGGTCACTTTCTGCAAGGCCCAATGTACTTGTCTTATGAGTCTTGGACTTAATCGAAACTCTCTGCTCCCACTGCCTCCAGGAATGACACTGATTCTGCACCTTTGGCAGTGTGCACAATCGTGCATTCCTTGTCTGCACACTCTGATTACCGTGCCCTGTTATAGCTTACCATGCAACCGCTTTGTCACTCCTTCCCTTTAAATATCCAGGGTGTGGTAAGCAATGAAGCCTCATTGTGAGAATTTTTCCTTTCCAATTCTGATTGCTAGTTCCCAATCAGCAGCAGGATTTATTATTATACAATTATCACGATTTACTGATATGTAGGATTTATAGGAGGTCCTGTAGTAATTTAGAAATTTAGGGCTGGAGTTGCAGCACATGTTGAGCCCTTGGCTTCTCTGCATTTTGACTTCCTACTATTCCTTTCTGGAGACACTATCCCTGTTCCTTCTGACCTCCTTTCTACCTATTTGTCACTATTTCTCTACATTTCCCAAAATGAAATGTTACTCTCCCAGTGCTGAGTCTTGAAAGATAGAGAGGTCATGAAAAGTTAGGTGATCCTTGTGAGAAAGCAGGAGAGGGAGCAATGAGATATAGACACACAAGGACAAATGGCTGGAATTGGGAGGGGGGGGGGTGGCGGGGAAGAAAATATATAGAGCTAGAAATAGCCAAAAAGCTTTTTAAATTTTATCTAGGTCCCAGAAAAGCCATAAGATAGTAAATTAAGAAACAGGAATGGTGAATTGAGTTGTTAAATACTCCACTTCCCTCACCCCAGTTTAATTAGCATTTCCATATTCTCTGTGAACATCTAACCTTTCCATATACTCTCAGAATCTCACGTTTTAAATAGTATTCATGAATCGAATATCTACCTAAAGTAGATTCCAGGTCCAGATAGGCCTCACAAACTCCTTTAAAAAGTTTGTTCTTATTTAGAACCTGGGGGGAAACAAATGAATGTTCCATAATTCATTTGGCCAGGCTCTAAAGTCACTTCTTTTCAGAATTCCCTCAAATTCCTGAACTAGAATTTATTGCTCTGACGAACTTCTTCCTCCCACCAACCAACACATTGAAGTTTCTTTCCAGGCTTTTTGAGTGATTGCCCACAATTAGGAACAACCCAGCATACCCATTAGGTTGTCACTTCCTACCAGATGTTGTCCAGCTGTTCTCAATTTCTTTTTGCTAATGCTCTGCCATCTGCTACCTTAATGGTGGCACAATGGGGAAAGGCTGCTTTGGTGACTTTGCTCTTCAAGTTATAAAGACCTGGCCCATTGCCTCATCCTGGAAAGTCTGATATGCACATCTGTCACATTCCTCCAACTGGTTGTTGCATTTATTCCATCTACTAACTAGCCAATGTTAAACCGGTGTGACATGAAATATGTGAGCTCTCACTACCAAATCTAAACCTGCATCACTCTTCATTAATGGACACATTCACGTCTTATTTCCAGCTATCATAGGTTCTGCCATTAAGACAACAGCTAACATCTTCTTGTCCAATCAATACGATTCCCTTTTACCTTTCTTTATATATATATTTTTTTTAACCAGCATGCCAATAGCACATCAGTACAGTAAGCAGTTATGTGTCTTTTGTGTCACCTTGTCGGTTACACCTTATACATGGAAATCTTATGTTTGTTTGTTATTCTCTACAGCTGAATGAAGACAAATCTTAGCCCTCTGAGACTGATGGTAAGTTATCAGAGTCAAAGTCTGCCAAGGCACAGCAGTTATCAATGCAGATTTCCAGGGACTGTAAATCAGTGTGTAATCTATTTGTATATACTTATTGAGGAGATTATTGCTCCCTTCAATTATGGAAACTATTTTTCTGAAACCATCATTATGCTAGATGTCGAAAAGGTTAGTACCATTAGCTCATAATCCCTTCCAAAGGCCCAGTGGGAATGGTTGTTATTGGGACTTTGGCAAACATAAAAATAAGTTCAGGAAAACTGATATCCATACTAATTACAATGTACTTGTCTCCAGTAATCTATATTTTTAATTAATTATTTTAAGATTTGAGCTGTCACCACGTGATGACTCCATGTCTTATCTTCCGAAATAACACCAACCCTTGATGGCTCTCTTAGATGGACAGCTTGTTTAAAGTATTTGTGCTTATGGTCACAAGGCAGATCTGCTTGCAGTACAGTCAGAATACAAATCTAGGACCAAAAGAGGATGTTAACATCATCCCTGACAGCACAAACACATGTTCTTTGGTTTCATAACACTATTTTTACTTGAACAGGTAACTTCTTCCCCATTCCAGCTTAGATTTAACAGAAATTAATGAAAACGCCAATCTTTTATTTGAAAAGCAATAAGATCTCAAACAGCAGCTTCATGTTTTACTTGGAGCAGCCATGAATGTAGCAACAGCGGAATCATCGTGTGCTAAAAGTTCACTCATATCCACTTTAGTCAATAAATGTACTTACTGGTTTTACAGACATTTAAAGAGTGTCTTCAACTTACAAAACATGCTAGTGTCTTGTCAAATGTGCTTGTCTTTGTAAGTGATAAAGACAAGGTGCTTCTAGTTAGCAAAGGACACAAATTCTAACAACTAACTATAATACAAAACAGAATAATATAAAATAAATAAGAACAACAAACTGAAGCTCTGGTAGTTGGTTGAGAATTGGAAAATACTTAATGGAAGAAGTGGTGTTTTCACTGGGTCTTGGTGAGTAAACAGAATTTTGGCCAGTAAACAAGAAAGAAATATAGTTAGGCTTTTTTTTTTTTTTTAAAGAAGACTTTAAAAATGAACCTACCAAACTCCACTGTGCTTCATATAATCACTGATATTTTGCACCCCTAAGAGTGTTATTTAAGTTTTCAATGCAGTTAATTGAAACCCTACTAGATGCAAATCAAAAGTTTCAGCCTTAATTGAGATATTTTGAAAATTGAACCCATTGCTTCAGGCAGGTGCTACATGAGATTCCATTAATATAGGTAATTAACATTAGCCTCTGCTTTAATTAACATGCATACTTTAATTAGCAAAGCATTAACCAACATTAAAAAATCTGATCTTCATGCATCACAAAAAACTGCAAAGTTATGACTACTATGTTATTTTTCTCCAAGGTTGTAAATCACAAAACAGTGATCACTTCTGAAGTACACATCAAATTTAGAATATTAAACAGGGAGATATGTACAATATGAGTGAAAACATCATTAAAATAAAAAAGGATGCTCTTTAGAAATTATAGAGCCAACAGCTTTCACATTTTAAACAGGAGTTACATTGTAATCTCTCAATGATCATTTGCAAGGCAGGAGACTTTTGGCTTGAAAAATCCCCATAGACTGTCGTCTTCCTTATATGTAATAAATCAATCACTATATAGAGTAGCATTATCTATGTGACCATCTACCTCCTAACCTCTTCTTATCTTTCTCAGGGATCAAAGAAAGCACCAGTTTCTGAAGACATTTAATACCTGAGGTCTCAGACTAGCACAAACTTCATTTTTAAAACAATCTACGTTGCCTTGTTTTATGTTTAAGATCCAAATGTGCTAGACTAGTTCTTTATTGTCAATCTACCATGTGTGCGACCACCAACAATTAAGGATGACTTTTGTTAAATATAAAATTGGCATTCATGTTCTTTCCTTACTATGATAATTAGATGTGCCAACTTTCAAATCCTGCTCATATGCTGTATAGATTTTTTTTATTACTTTAATGAAAACAGCATCATCATTATATGGAATAGAAGTACTGTAGAAATGGTATCCATGTAGCAGATCATTGTATTCTTTTATCCCAAGACATGATAAAATTATGGTAAAAAAAAAAATGGTGAGCTTTTAAAAACATGTACACTCACAGAAAAAGTAATCATATCCTTCCTGATTAAGCATTAAGAAAAACAATCATAATACTGCAGATAGATCAAAATTAAAAACAACAAAGTCTCTAGTAAGCCCGTGCTGGATATAAGGCAATATTTAGACACAGAGAAATCTGAAAGACCATGACAAAAAGTGTCCTGGATCTCATGAGCTTTCGTTTAAATCTAAACTGAAAATCTCAAAAATTAGGTCCATTGTGGTAAATGTTGGTGTAATGAGAGAAAAAGAGCTAGGGAGCAGCACTCACAGATTTGTAGGCTCATTTGCTGCTTTAAGCTGTTACTAACATTGGAATTGCTTCCATTGACTCTACCGAGGGTTGCGCTTCTCTCTTCTTGTTCCTGCCACGGGTTATTTCATCACAGCCACTACAGGGTCAGCATGAGTCAGCATCTTCTCTGTACTCCTTTTCAACTAACAAATGGGGAAATGAATGTTTCTTGGGTTTGCAAAGCCATACCCCAAGTTACAGTGATTTTCTTGACCTTTTTCCCTATGTCAAATCAGAGCCAGGGCTCCCAGGAGATCATGCAGGATCTGGCCATTCTTCTGGATCTGCGCTGAGGGCAGTACCCTGTAAATAGGTGCAAGGACACCTCTCAGTTCTGTTTACGTGAATTTGTGGAGTCTTTATCAAATTCTTCCCCTATTCTATAAACTGTATTATGACAAAATTCCATATATTGGATTGCCATATGTCAGTACTATTTATGCTCTGCTAATTAAATTCAGTTGGGCTTTCACTCAGGAAAGGTATAAGCAGGATAAACAGAGAGAAGCATATTTACAGCCAGGGCTTTAAGAAGCATAGAACCCTGCTTTATAAACATGTGACAAACCCTCACGAACTTCCTTGTAGGTTTTAAGTTCATAGGGCCTTCCTTAGAGAAGTCCTTCAGAGATGTAGGAGTGGAACAATAGCATCAACTACTGAGCCATTTACTTAACTGGGTATAAACACAGGCATTTACTTAACTGTCAATAATATTTAAAACAATTGCCTATGAGCGAAAGATTGCTCTACACTAAACGTATGTATTCCCCTTCATTCTAGGTCTCAGAAAGTAGTCTTCAGATTACCAGCTTCAGAATCAGCTGGTGGGTTCACTAAAATGCAGATTCCCAGGCCCAGTGAGGACTGAATAAATCTTAGTTTCCCAGGTGAGTCAGTTTTGGCTGGCACTCCCAGGTGATGCTTATTCAGAGTAAATCTGGAGAACTGCTAAGAAGGAGAGAAACCACTGTCTTCTATTTCTCATACTACAGGCAGTGGTCATGAAAGTGAGCAAAATACTCTGTACCTAATCTCATAACTTCTTTGTAGATCACTGTGGGAGAAGAAAATAGGTTTTGTTGGGACACAGCTTTCATTAAATAGAGTCACCTTTGATAATTAACTAAATTTGATGGGCAGATAATAAAAGTCACATAAAACAGAAAGATTTATGTTTATGTTTAATATATCTTTATAGTCATACACGCTATAAATATTGCTTCATGAGTGCATTTTAAGCATGAGATTTTTCCAAACACATTTATTTAAAAAAATCCAAATTAGTTCTGTTGGTATTCTACTTTTAATACTTACTTTATCACTAGATGGCTAGATTTTTATTATGTTTCATGTCAACCAACTCTGACTTTCACTGAAATATCTAGACGAGAGATATTTATCTTGAGAAAAACAGATAGATTTATCTTAAGAGAGACAGATCTAACATACATTGACTTTCTTTAGATTTCTGATTATATTCTATAACATGATCACCATAAATCTGGGACAATATGGTCCATGCAACCTACCTAGACAAAAAAGTTAGATTGGTAAAAAACGCTTTCCCCAGTCTGACCCTAATCTCCTTTTAAAATTTTATCTCTCATTACTTTCTACATAACCATCTTCCCCAGGCAATTTGTCTATTTATCACCAGCTCCCAAATAGAAAGGCTTCCTGACCCTGAGTTTTTGCAAATATTTCTTCTGCATGAAACGCTTTCTCTAATCTGCTCTCTTACTTCGATGAAACCAAAAAGTCCTCTAAGGGCCAACACGAACAACTCTTTCATTTCCCCAATTCTATGTCTCTATTCATCCACTATGTATCACTGACCACCTTGCATTGGCAGAGATCTATCTGCTAGTCTTAGCTTCCCAACTAAATTATGAGCTTCTTAAAGTTAAGGACTTCCCAATATATTTAGGACCCTGCCTGACACATCAGAGTTACTTGAAAACTTGACCTCAACATTTAAAAAGATTTACTAAGAGATTCAATAATAAATTGTTCAAATATACCATATGGTTTAACACTTAGTATCAGTTACAGTTAACATCTTGCATCTACGCTCTAGTGGAGAAATCACATCCAGTTTCACACAGTTTACTGGAGACATCAAGGTATAAGGAAAATAAAAGAATGTTAATGACTAGGTAAGTAGGGCCTTCATACCTTAACTGAAATAAAATTCATTTCTGTGGTGATACAGTCATTCTTTGGTACAGTCAATTGTTTCCTAATCTGCTGCATATTCACTCGTCTCCTGATAGTCAATATTTTTACTTCATTAATCAATTTTACTCATTAATATCTTATTCCTATTTGACGAATTTTTCTGAAAACAACTTCTCAGTTGTGATTTCCTCATGAAAATATTTTACCACCCAAAAATTGTGTAATAAACAAGATTGTGGTTGCAAATTCTGCAAACATTATTTTGTGACTTTATAGAAGTCCTTAAAGCATGATTTTTTTGTATCCTTTATATATTGTGTAAAAATAGCTCCTTCATAATACTTTTTTTTTTTATTCCTGAGACAGGGTCTCGCCCTGTCACCCAGACTGGAGTGCAGTGGTGCAAACACAGATCACTATAGCCTCGATATTCCAGGCTCAAGCTATCCTGCCGCCTCAGCCTCCTGAGTAGCTGGGACCACAAGCATGTGCCACCATGCCCAGCTAATTTTTTTTTTTTTTTTCAGTAGAGACAAGGTCTTGCCACGTTGCCAGGCTGGTCTTGAACTCCTGAGTTCAAGCAATCCCCTGCCTCGGCCTCTGAAAGTGCTGGGATTGCAGGCCTGAGCCAGCTGGCTCAGCCCATAATATTTCTAATTGTGTACAAGGTATCTTTTAAAAAGACTATCAGTCTGGTATATTTCACCCTACCTAATTAATTCACAGAATTGTGTGTTTTGTTTTGATTTAATTGGTTTGTTGCATTTGTGATTGGTTTCTTTTCAATACATTTTCTCACAGAGAAGAAAATTTTCATTTTAGTCAATGCCATTTCATTCCACAACAGAACATCCGCTAGGGTAGCCCTCAGGGTATGAGAAATATGCTGTGGGACTGTGTCAGAAAAACAGACCCAGAGTTTCAGTGGTGCAGGCTTCAGAGTCCAATTCTTGTGAAACTAGAGTTTGTAATGGCTTCACATAGCTCCCCCAGCCAGTTGCAAACAACACACCAATATTAAATTGAGTATGACATTTTTTGAAAGAGAAAATTACACAGCAGATATATAGCTGCTAAAAATTATGGGCATTTTATAGGGCAAAGTCTGATTTTTAATAAAGATCTGAAATAATGACTTTAAGTTTGAGCAATTAGTTAAGAGTTTAAGGTACAATGATTTCAAATTAGACTTGTGCGCATGGCAGAAGAACCCAAATGGCCCAAGACATGGGCCATCTGATTTGCTACTATGAGTCTGTATAGGTTTTTAATACGCAGAAACTCAGAAAGTGCCACTCATTCAACTTACATGAATGTGAAATGATGGAAATCAATTACTATGTTTTTCTGTTGAACTCAAATCATGACTATAAATAAAAATGAGGCAATATTTTATTTGCCCTAGTTTTACTAACACAAAGACCAGAGAAAGCAAATGAACGAATACAAACTTATTACTTAATACTTCTCGATTTCATTGTATTCTTCAAGATAATTATTATTATTCCCTTTTTATAGATAAGAAAATTGATGACAAACTGTACTAGGCAATTCTTGCATTGCTATAAATACTTAAGACTGGGTAATTAATAAAGAAAAGAGGATTAATTGGCTCATGGTTCTGCAGGCTTTACAGGAACCATGGTGCTCAGCTTCTAAGGAGGCCTCAGGAAACTTACAATCATGGTGGAAGATGAAGACGGAGCAGGTGTGTCACATGGAGAATGCAGGAGCAAGTGAGAGAGTGAGGGGAGGGGAGGTGTCAAACACTTTTAAATGACCAGATCTCATGAGAACTCACTATCAGAAAGATAGCACCAAGCCATGAGTGAGCCCTCATAATCTAAACACCTCCCACCAGGCCCTGCCTCCAGCATTGGGGATTACAATTCAACATGATATTTGGGTGGAGTTCAAATCTGACAAACACATAAATCCAAACTATATCACAACACTTATTAATAAATAAAAGGGAAAGGAGAAAAAATGGCCAAACATGGTAGCTAAATTTTTGATGACAGAATACCTAACTCGAGGCCAAACATATATGCCAACTAATTGAGTGACTCTTCCACACTTTAAATGTTATGACATGCAAAGTTGTCCCTGGCTGTAAATAAGTGGTGGATTTATTTATTTTTATTTTATTTTATTTGAGACAGGGTCTCGCTCTGTCACCCAGGCTGGAGTGTAGTGGCACAATCACAGTTCACTGCAGCCTTGACCTCTTGGCCTCAAGTGACCCTCCCACCTCAGCCTCCTGAGTAGCTGGGACTACAGGAATGTGCCACCATGGCCAGCTAATTTTTAAATTTTTTGTAGAGATGGGGTCTCCCTGTGTTGCCTAGGCTGGTTTCAAACTCCTGGGTTCAAGTATTCCTCCCACCTTGGCCTCCCAAAGTGTTGGGATTATACGCATGAGCCACTGCACCACTCTAATGATGGACATTTTAGAGATGTGCATTCAGAAAGAGGAATGGGAAGAAAATAGCAACTCAGGAGAAAGGTGAGCAAGCCTAGGGGATAGCAGTAGAGCTGTAGCTTGAATGGAGAGTAAAGTCTTCCTGGCTGGAAATGAAAAATTAATCTGGTGTGATGGCTGGCAGTATCTTTAAAGAAAATGCAAAATATATTTGATTTAATCTGATATGATTATAATGGATGGAATTTCCTTGTAAGAAATTTTGTGATTTTATAAAGATCAGAAGGCAAAAGAATGCTTAAAAATAATCCAGCTCCCTGATATTCTGGATTTCTAAGAAAGTGAAGGAAAATTGGGTAAGAGGCAGGTGGAGTAATCTAGACATAAATAGATAAAGGCCTGGGCTCCTAGGCCAGGTGGGGAAATAGAAAAACATAATCAGGCCAAGAGGCCTAGTCGAGGAAGATGCAGCAGTTCTTGGTGGCTGGTGGCTCCCATTTGGGAACAAAAGGGGAGAAGAACAGTGAAAATTATTTTCAGCTTCTATTGCTAAGGAGCCTGGCATGTTGGAAGGATAAAATGACGGAAAAGATGGGAGAAAAGAAAGTGGTAAACTTCATTATTATGGAAACTTTTAGGTGACAACAGTATATAAAACTAGCAGTCTTCTAGAGTCAATTGAG
The DNA here is from genome assembly GCF_000001405.40 of Homo sapiens. Classification (NCBI taxonomy): domain Eukaryota; kingdom Metazoa; phylum Chordata; class Mammalia; order Primates; family Hominidae; genus Homo; species Homo sapiens. The sequence goes on along the minus strand of NC_000014.9, from coordinate 32,652,102 downwards.
CATGGAACCATAGCATGCAAAGTGGGTGGACACTAAACCGAAGATGTAGATCCGGACACCACTGCCTATAGTGGTAGCTAAAATCATCCCAAATGATAAGATTCCTAAGGGAATATGCATACTATATAAGGAAGAACAGATGGTCTAGAATCCACAGCCAAAGGGTGGCAGGAAAAAGAGTACTCAATAAAAAATGGGCCTAAGATGTAAGGGGACCAAAAGGAAATTGCAATGATTTATTGTTAATAATCTCAACAGTAAGTGGATGTTCTACAATACATAGAGGTACAAGTAATCCACACTATGGTTTGAATGATGGTGTCCCCTTCAAAATTTATGCTGAAACTTACTCCCCAATGCAACAGTATTAAGAAGTGTGGCCTTAGGGAGGTAATTAAGTCATGAGGGCTTAGCATTCTTATATAAAGATTCAAGGTCAAAGGGAGTGTGCTCTTGCTTATCCATTCCTTCTGCCATGTGAGGACACAGAGTTCACCCTCTCTGGAGAATGTAGCCACCAGGCACCATCTTGGAAGTGAAGACTGGACCCTCATCAGACAACAAACCTGCCAGTGCCTTGACCTTGGACTTCACTTCCCAGCTTCCAGACTGTGAGAAAATAAACTTCTGTTCTTTATAAATTACTCAGTCTCAGGTATATTATTATAGTAAAACAAACAATGAATACAACCCTACATAGCATAGCCTAGACTATCCGCAACAATTAGATACTCCATTACCACCATAGTGACAAAGAGCCGGTCAAACAATTTAGAAGAGTGATGAACCTATTAAACCCATGATTCTTGGCTGCCGTGACACTACAATAATCATGAACACCTTGCTTAAAAACTAGAAAGTAGTGGGAATGTGGAGGAGTGAGCAAGGCAGACGTTGCATAGTTTATAATTGTGTCAGTGGGTACCCAAGGTGGGAGCCATTAAAATATATGTTAAAAGGCAAAGAGGCCTGCACAGATTCCTATGACCAGTCAGTATGAGGAGCACCAAATAACCTACACAAGTCCCAAAGCCCTCTGGTTCTTGCAACACAATCTCTAGTTGTCTCTCTGTATTTCAATCAAAGATGGAATAATTGGGTATCATGGATACTTTTTTCCTTCATATGTCTTACCTTACGGCTTAAAAGAAGCAAACTTTACAATCCTCTTTGGTGAGTCACAAGGACATTTATAAAAATCTACATTTATAAAAATATAAAATAGAGTAAATAGAGTTATCAGAACTACCCAGCCTAAACAAGTCTTTTAAACAGGTTTTGTTACTTTCTCAAAGTATTAAAAATCTATGCATAGTCTAGGTAAACGCAAAACAGGGTGAACAATGCCGCTTTCATTATTATTCCACCTCTTGGGGAACCCTGGTCCAGTTAAAACACATTTGAACTGGTCATTGGTTTACTTTTCTTTTTTAGGTGACATGAATTTTGGTAAATTAATGGTATTTAGCATTTATTTTTATTTTTTTATTTTTAAACAGAGTCTCACTCTGTTGCCCACGCTGGAGTACAGTGGCATGATCTTGGCTCACTGCAATCTCCACCTCCCAAGTTCAAGCAGTTCTCCTGCCTCAGCCTCCCAAGTAGCTGGGATTACAGGCATGCCACCACACCCGACTAATTTTTGTACTTTTAGTAGAAATGGAGTTTCACCGTGTTGGTCAGGCTGGTATTGAACTCCTGGCCTCAAGCAATCCGCCCGCCCCAGCCTCCCAAAATGCTGGGATTACAGGTGTGAGACACTGCGCCCGGCTGTATTTAGCATCTAGAAGTCAGAATGCCGCACTGGTATGTCTGAAAGACAAACCGCTATGCGTTATGTTGGGCTTCTTGCATGGTACACAGCTAAGGTGAATTAGGGGGAAGCAGCACAGGTTAAAACTGGATATCCTCATTTGCATGAACCACTACTTTAGTGTTTAGGGAGTTTCATTTTAGAAAGGAAGAACTAGAACCCAAAACAAGTTATCTTTTTTATCTCTGAAATTTATAGCTGTGAGACAAACTCAAATATACAAAATTAAAATAAAAATCCAAACCCTAGATAATTAATTCAACATCTTTATTGGGGAAAGGAAGAACAAGAGCCCTTTTCAGCCTCTGTTTCTAAAAGTGATCTATATAAAATATGAGCAGTGTGTGCTGCCTAGAGAAATCCAGTGTCACCATCAAAGAAAAGGAACTTTCCTCTACAACACAATCTTGTGCCTTCTCGTCATTTGTTAAACTGACTTAAAACCATTTACCAAACCAATTGCAAATCTAGCTTAGTGATCAACCAGCTCTTACTTTTTTATATTATTCTGATGAAATGGAGGTTACTTCAAAAAAGGGGCTATATATAAAATTAACCATAAATTATGTAAAGTGATTTATTATTGCACATTTGTTCCATGTTTGCATCCTAAATTTACAGACTAAAACTTATATTTTATTAATTCATATTTACAAAAAAAGAAACAATTCATAAGATTTGCAGTAAGGAAAAAGATGTCAGTTTAACTTTATAAATAATAAACACAAAATAACAACAAAATTACATTGGAGTTTATTGTAACTTTTCACTTTATGCCTTAGAAATATAAAGAAATTTCTAGAAATTTAATGAAAACTTTGTAGCATAATTAAATGTAAAATAAGTTTTAACATGCATTTCTCCTGCCAATCGGCATACATAATAGGAAAATGGTAGAGAATAGGTTAAACAGTCTAAAAGGATTTTAACCTTAAATTTGACAGAAGTTAAATGGCTGTGACATTGGGTTCTTCTGCTTTATTCCAGCTAGTAATCCACCCTCAAAGTTCCTGTCAGGTAAATGACCTTGTATTTCATTAACTGATAATTAAATGGATTTATTCCACTAACGGTTTTAATTAAAATGCTAGAAATATTGATTACCCCTCTCATCCTTATTCCCCCAGATGAAAAAAAGGTTTTAGGAATGTTTATTTAGAGAAGACAGAGAATTAAATTAGATTGAATCTCTATGAGACCCGAAGACTGGTTCTTTCATTTCTGCTGCTCAAGCAGAAAAAGGTTTCAATTTTTTGATGTTTGATTAATTATTTTGAAATCCATTTATGCTTACCTTGGTGTTTAATTAAAAATGTCATTTTTAGCATAATTAAATTGGCTATCTGTGGAAGACTAACTTCAAACTTATATTTTAAAAATGCAATGTCTTTTTTTTGGTAAAAGAAACTTTTTAGTTATTTGCTTTTTCAGTAGAGGTACCGCCTCATGAATGAAAAACTAAGGAGAGCTAGAGCTTAATTGGATTTCCTACATTTGAATATTAGGCCACATATGCTTATGACTAGTCTAAGTTTATTTGGCTGTGCTCTTTAATCTATTAGTGATTCATTCATCCTAACAAACACAGAGTATGCTTTTCCAAATGTGTTGGATTTCATAATGTTTACACTGACAAAATGTACCTCATAAAAGCTGTCTTCAGCATGCCTGGGTGCTTTTCTACAGCACTGATTCAAGTAAGCTAAGATACAGTTTCTACTGTCAGTTCTGTCAAAGCACATCTAGGCAATTGGAAACCATTTTCACTAAACATCAGAGCTGATAATGACAGAGTGAGAAGTGTAATAAACAAGAAAGGAAGACCCAATCCTTCTTGCTTAAGGTGCTTACCAAGAGGAATACCCTCCTATGTGCTCACCAAAAAGGCAATTCTGAAAATGATCACCGCTATTATTAACAACATAGTGCTAAAATACTAATTTCTATATAGGCAAATCATAATTCACAAGAAAGCCACAACCTGAGAGACAACCAATAGAAACAGAATATTACTCAAGAATGAGATATTTTTATTGTAATTTTTAAGCAAATCCAGCTCAAATAAACATTTTTCTAAAACGTCTGTTTTTGAAACAATTCCTTCTAAATTCTCCTCCAGCTAAGTGTGGGACTTAATGCATAGCTGGAAATTGCTGAAGTCACAGAAATGGGAACACATACAATTCTCATGCTTATGATACTGAGGCGAACTAACAGCCTCCTTTTGCATTACTTTAAATGAAAAGACAATTAAGGGAATTATACTGATCTAAAGACTCTTGATAAAGCCCTATTTTGGTACACTTCCTTTTGCACAATTTGCATTTTTTATATTGCTTAATGGTATACCTTTTTAGGGAATACTCTTGTGATGGAGAAAAGCCCGTACAGTCATGCTGATCATATGATACTTTGAATTGTTTGATTAACTTCAGGAGGGCTACTGATTATGTTTGTGCTCTGAATAACAAGGCATATTTCATAGAGTTGGGCAGACTAGAATTATGTTGGCCTAATGTCCCACAGGCATGAAGTCCTGTGTTTCAATTGCTCCAAAGAATAGTAACTTAGCACTCATGTGGTGCCAATATCTGTTGCCTAGATTTTAGCAGTCTGATTTCAACATTGTGGATTTTTTTTAAAGACTTAGAAATCATTGATGCCCCTTTATCCTGTCTTATTCATTATCAGAAGAAAACTTTGGCCAAAGCTTTTGCTAGACAGCTGCACTTAAAAGCTGAAGATGCCACTTAAATTCCGCTCAGTCTTCCTATTAGAAGATAAGGGAAAAGGGTAGGATGTATCCATTGGCAAAAAGAAGACTGCAAAAAGTGAAAGTGAGAGGGATTCTCAGCTCTTATTTTTCTTACCAGTTAAAGGAAACAGAAATGGTCATGTACCTCAGTTTTCTCATCTACCAAATGGAAACAATGCCTAAGGAGAACAATCTTCCAGCTCTGAAAGCACTGGCATCTGCAGATCTGAAGACCAATGAATACCATTTCTGAAATTACAATTGCATCAGAGGTTCAAATTTGCACAGAAGAACAAAGACTCAGAGATAAGGGATGTTGGCCTGAGCTAATATATACTTGGAAATTGTCACATTTCATTTTTATAATAATATATGAAGCACGGTTTTTCATAATACCTACTATTCCTGGTATTTAAACAGCATGCACTTGTCAAGATTACTAATGGTTCTACCATAAATTTACTTTCTTGACTATTGTTTTGGGATACAGTGACATGGTATGCCCTCAAATGCATATGGAAATACTTTCAAGATATCAAAATAGTTGTAGTGCCTTTCCTATGAACTTTAAGAAACTAGCAAGATTAGTAACTTTATTTTTACCAGTGATATATGACATATTTTAACTTGTCTATATACAAAAGTAGAGCTGTTAACAATTGCAACTTTCCTCAAGTATGCCATGAATCACTGTACTCCTTTTCCCTTTTTTCATGCACCATTGCCACTACCTTACCTTCAGCAGTTTTGCTAGATTTCAATGAAGATGGAACTAGAGGGCACACATTAGAATTTTATATCAGTTCAAGAAGGGGAGAAAAGAAAGACATATGAAGCCCGAATGACATTCATTGAAGGTTCCCTAGGGAAGATAACACATGTTTTTGTCTCTCACCTGCTAGGCATGCTAAATCAGTGCAATGATAAGCTAATTTATGAAATATATTTCATTGAAATCTGGACATCTTTACTGTTGCTAGTTCAGCCATTAGAATTTCAGGAATAATGGCAGCCTAATTTTTAAAACATAAAAGATTTGAATTTTCTGATATAACGCTTATGGTAGATCTTGCGTGCAGCTTCAGATTTCTAACGAAAATAATTGTTACTACACAGTTGCTTAGCCTAAACTCAGAATCTCTATTTATGTCTCTCTGAAACTTGTCATATTAGTGTTGAATACCATTATTTTTTTCATCACAGTGTCAAAATGATTGGGTTTGTGAGAATCTATATATCTGTTATGTACTATTATAGATCTATTATATCTTATTATGTATTATATATTATTATAGGTGTTCTCAGATACACAACTGACCTTTAGTTTTTTAAATGGTCCTTTATAATGTCTTATAGCTCCAATGTCCAAACTTAGCTTTTTACCCACTTTTTCAATACTCAATATTGACTCACTTTTCTTCAAAACTATGACTTTAACAAATCTATCAAGCAATCACAACCAGAAGAGTTGGCCTGCAGATGATAAGATGATTCCAGTGGTGCATGCTTCCATGTTTCCAGGTGGGCACCATTAAAATATAATGCCATCATGGTAGCCCTTGAAACCAATCTTGTTTCATTAGCAATAGAGCAGATAGTTTTTCATATAATCAATGCTTTCTCCGAGGAATGGCAAATTAAATGTGGATCAAATTAAAAGCATCTAAGCATAAAATTAGAGTCAAAACAAGAATTTTCCATTAAAAAGTGCTATTCAGCCTTGTGTGATATTTTTCTCAAAGACTCCTTTTCCCTGCCAGGCTCTGATCCTCCTGCCAGGTTCCCAAGAATTGTGTATAAACAGTGTCTGCCTCCTTTATCACCCACCTGCTCCTCTTGCCAGACTTACTTGAATTCAACACAGCCCTGGTTTGAGGCATGTGAGCTCATCAATACAGGAGTAAGTTCCCCTGTCACTCATTCTAGGCAGTGCCATCAAGAAATATACAATGTAGGTGGGTGTGGTGGCACAAGCCTGTAGTCCCAGCTACTCAGCAGGCTGAGGAAGGAGGATCACGTGAGCCCAGGAGTTCAAGTCCAGCTAGGGCAACAAGTGAGACTCCGTCTGTAAAAAATTAATAAATAAATTTAAAAAATAGAAACATAAATGACAAGAGGAGCCCAGTTATGAAATAGATTGTCTGTTTACCCACAAATATATTGACAATCAGCAATGATGGGAAAATAAATGCAACAAACATTACTGATAGCTTAATGGGATTCACATAAAATATTCGAGGTTGAAAATGTCCTCGGTGCTACGTTGCTCTTTTAAGTGTATTCCTTCTAGGACGAAATAGCTTTGCCTAATACTATATATACAAAAAATTATTGGGTTTTTATTTAATAACCTAATTTTCCTATATACAGAGTCAAAATTTAAATAGAATCTAACCTTTTAAGATCAGGTCCCTATAAAAAATAAACATTCTTTTTCTTTAGTTAGATAATAGCACCACCTTTAGCTGTGTACTAATGCATGTTTTATAGCAAAGATGATAGAAGATTTAGGCTGGTCACAGAAATAAATCCATAAATGAGAGAGGACTGGCTTGTAACTTCAGTGTTTGAATGATCCATTGATTATGGTATATATACCCGTTAGTCTGTCAAAGACCAGAAATATCATGCTGGCTTTTTAGAAAAGCAGAGGTCTATCCTGACAAAGACTGAAGGGAATTTTATTGGGTAATCATATGGAGAACTATTGAGCTCTTTGTGAATGCAATCAGGGACATTAATTGAGAAGGACAAAAATAAATTATATATTTAGAGAAATGCAGACATTTCAGTTTGTGATGGTTGGTGAGGAGAGAGAATAGAGAAAAGGAAACAGAGGCAGAGAGAAACAGAGGCTAAGGGATTAAAAAAAATGTTGGTCCCCAAAATGCAATAGAGAAATAAAGCCATCCACGGCCTTGTTATACAGACTTTGTGCAACTTTATAGCAAACTAGGAAAAAAGATTTTGAGTACTTAAAACCTTTTTTACTTCCTAGGTCAGCAGAACTCTCAGGAACATCCTAGAAACAAACTCCCCTGGGCACTATTTACAGAGATCAAATGGATGTCTCAAGAAACCAGCACCATGTTAATTCTTTGCTCCAGCATTGCCAGATACAACCTAGCTAGGTTAGAAATTACTGACAGCTTTCCTCTCTGATGCTAGCCTAGATACACTTGGTAGAGAGAGAGAGCAATGACCTTCACAGAAAATGTCACTTCTCTGGATATTATCTGACAGCATTTGGAGTAGCAATTTCTTATTCCTAACACCCCTTCAAATTCCTGAAGAATAACTCCAACTCCATTTGGACTAAGCTCTGTGTGGACATTGCACTTACAGTGCCTTTGTATCATTCTGTGGCAAATAGTAGATCACCAAACAAAATCAGACCATTTAACATCAAATGATCTGTTAGAAATGGTCTACTCCAGCAAACGTCTCATCCTCAAGGGTCTGCAACTGAGTAACTTTCATAAGTCAAAATTATGTGCTCTCTAAATGTACACACATGAGCATCACAAGACTCATTAATATTTCAGTGTGTCAGGTGAATATATCTACAAGAAATAGGGGGAAAAGGCAAATAACTGCAGTCAGCATTATGAGTTTATTTAAGCCTACAGATTGAATCCTAACAGAAGATGAAGAACTATGCATTTTTAATTTCTATCTCAGATGGCTTAGTCTGAGCAGAGAATCAAGACTAAGTATCAAGGTCAGTACAGTTCACATGTCCATTTTCATAAAGGACACGTCTCTGTCTTTATGTCTTCCTGATGACATACAGTTGGCATAAGGAAAACCTGTAACTCTTGTTAAATAGCTCAAATATTTAAAAACAACAACAAAGAAAACATGCTCATAAATCAGGAGGGAGAAAAGGAAAAGGGAAAAGGAGAAAAGCAGGTGATAAAGAATGTATGGGCCAGGTGTGGTGGCTCATGCCTGTAATCCCAACACTTTGGGAGGCCGAGGCGGGCAGATCACAAGGTCAGGAGTTCAAGACCAGCCTGACCAACATGGTGAAACCCCGTCTCTACTAAAGATACAAAAATTAGCTGGGCATGGTGGTGGGTGCCTATAATCCCAGCTACTCAGGAGGCTGAGGCGGGAGAATTACTTGAACCCGGGAGGCAGAGGTTGCAGTGAGCCGAGATCATGCCACTGCACTCCAGCCTGGGTGACAGAGTGAGACTCCGTCTAAAAAAAAAAAGAAAAGAAAAGAATGTATGAAGAAAATGAAGAAGGAGAGGCAAAACAAAAAGAAGAGAAGGTGGCAAACAGAATACCTTTCTCAAGATAATATCCATCCTGGTAGATGGGTTTTACCATTGATTCCTGCTTTCTACTTTCAGGGCTAGAAGATTTCAGTCATCCATTAGGACAACACAATGATTAATAGAGTCCCTTTTAAGAGATTCAGAGCATTAATCTTACTTATTACATTTGTTTCATAAGAGTTATATTGAAATGTACAGATTTGCTCTAGTTGTCCTAGTAAGTCTCGATTTATTCTTTTATGCTGTCATGAAAACTTTTTTTATTGTAATGAAAACATTCTAATACTATGTGAAACTCTAATTGTATTGCCAATTTCCTTGTCATATGGTATTCCCATGGTACAGTATTAATACTGATATACTTTAACTGTGCTTCATGTATAAATTTATACACACAAAGGCATATCCATTTTTTAATGGGATTTACCTGAGTAATGTTAATAGGGAATCACACATGTAAATCCTTGTGCATCGAAATGAAAATATATCTCTACATATTCTCAAATAAGGTTTCTTGAGGGATCATTTAATGTTTATGGGGAATTCATTTATATTTGTAACCAATTCTAATCACCTGAAGGTCACAGCATGTGGAGTATTTTTTAAATGCTCCTTTCTGCGGTGAATGAACGAAACAGACTATGCTCAAATTTGTTGCTCTCCTCTGAGCCCATTTAAAAATGAGATGCCTAATTTTAAGGACATTTTCCCTCTATGTAAAAAATAAATCAACTTAGTGAAAGAAAAAACTATACAGCTGCCAAGTATATGTAAGTTCAAAAGTTTTTATATTGCCTGAAATAGAGACGCATGAAATTACATTAAAGTTTTAAACAGAAACAGAAGTTTTCAGCCAACGTAGATCAAAATCTATTAGCGATAAAATTGTTTTGACAAAAACTGTGTAAATACAATGCCACTGGCTGCAAGCCTATTATTGAATGCAAGTGGAAAATAGGAAGAGCACTCCTGAAGGGGCATTGCTAAAGTGACACAAAATAAACACAACCATTTTGGTATAATTTTTCACATTAATTATGTTCTCTTATCATAGATGTATAACTAGCCAAGTATAACAACAATAACAAGATAGCACTGAAGTTATTTTGCAAACAGGAAAAAGCAAATAAAATAATACTGATATGCTAGTTATTAGATTACTAGCCTTTTATCTTGTGGAATAGCTTCCCTGAACAAGAAGACTATATTAATCATTTCTATTCCTCCAAGTA